>NC_000024.10:9055174-9057608 GCF_000001405.40 Homo sapiens
GTGAGGGTCTGTGGCTTCATTCCTGAAGACAGTGAGACCACAAACCCACTGGGAAGAATAAGCAACTCTGGACATGCCACCTTTAAGGGCTGTAACATTCAATGTGAAGGTCTGTGGCTTCACTCCTGAAGACAGTAAGACCATGAACCCACCGGAAGAAAGATACTCCCACACACATCGGAACATCTGAAGGAACAAACTCCAGACACATCATCTTTAAGAACTGTAACATGCTCTGTGAGGGTCTGTGGCTTCATTCTTGAAGTCAGTGAGACCAAGAACCTAGTGGAAAGAACCAATTCTGGACACAGCTTCCCACTGAGCTTACAACAAGGACCATAGAACTCAACATGGCTGCAGATCCCAAGTGGTCCTGCCTGTTGCCCTCTCCCATTTAGTCTGCTCAACTGTTTGCAGCCTCATCTGCTCCCACTTTGGGGGCTCTTGATTGTCTTGGGGATTTTGTGTGCATCCTCAATCCATTCACCCAGTGCCCACCCTTACCTAATTTATCTAATTTCCTAGGGATTTATCCAACTGAATCCTTAAAGTCACATCAGTTGTGATATCTAACTGTAGAAAAGTTAATAATGTAATGTTTCTAAAGATAAAGAAATGATTTGTTATTTGTTAGATCATTGATGAGATCACTCTCAATTTAGAAATCAAGAAAATAATAGTAAATAAAATAAAAGCCCATGTTTGGGATAATAGGTAAAAAAAAGGCTCAGTGCTGAAGACAAATGACAAGACTGATTATTGAAATAACATAAGAATTTATTGGAGAGACTATTACCTTCCTATATTTTCCAACTGTGTGTTACTACTTACAAGATATTTTATGTTTAAATACTTATATTTTATGTAGTCCATCAATGCAGTTAACTGATGAAAAGTCCTAGCCCACATCATGATAATCTACATAAATGGTTCTAAACATCCTTAACTGTATAACCTAAAGTAATAAAGTAAGCCTAGACATTTAAGCAGGTGAATTATTAATATTTATATATTGAAATTCTGAGAAGGAATGTAAGTATGTCACAGCTCTGGTACAGGACTTGGGACAGTTGTGTAACCATGCACCCCATGAACTTAAGGCTCTCTCTTTTACTTCCTACTGGATGGCAAATTCTTAACCGATGGAGACTGAGGGGCAAACTGTCACCTTTATTGGAAACTCTAGTTAAGCAGAAAAGTCTTCATTTCAGAACATCCTTTCCTGTCAGGTATTTTCTTTTCTCATCCACGGAAACCTGCTACCCAGCCATATTATTACTTTGACTCAACCTCAGGTGGAGCTAGACAGGACCAATTTTACAACACAGAATCCCATAACTATGAGAAAAGCTAACATATGAAACACTTCATGGTGTAAAACTTAAATATTTTACTGTTTATCTTTTTATGTAGTTGTTTTCTCTTGCATTTATTTTTGGTGAAGTAAATAAAGTGCAAATCTTCCTTTTTGTGGCATGTCTTTTCACTTTCTTGATACCGTCTTTCAATGCAAAATATGTTTTATTTTGAGGGAATTTTTTCTTTAGTTGGCTGTATCAGATCTAAGATTTTTGTATCAGATCTAAGTCCTAGGTTATGAAGAAGTATCCCTAAGTTTTATTCTAGAGTTTATGTTTTTACCTTTAATAGGTAGGCTTTTGAACCATTGACTGATGAGGAAAAGATACAATTTTTTTTCTGAATGTGGTTAGTTTGTTGTCTAACAGCATTTGTTGAATTTTATGGTCTTGACTGAATTACAAAATCAATTGACCATAGAGGTATAGTTGGACTTGACATTCAGTTTCATTGATCTCTATGTGTGTCCTTATGCCAATATTATGCTGTTTTTCTTACTGTTGCTTTTCAGTAATATTTGAAATTGAGAAATGTGAGACTCCAAGTTGGTTTTTGTTTTCAAGATTATTTTCACTATTCAGGGTCACTTGAAATTTATATGAATGTTAGGACTGGCTTGCCCTTTCTGTCAAAATAACTTTGGTATTTTCATAGAAATCACAATGAATTTCTAGATTGCTTTGTGTACTATTGTCATCTTAAAAAAATTATCTTCTAATCCAGAAACATGGAATGTCTTCACATCTATTCACAGATTCTGGAATTTATTTCAGCAATATTTTGTAATTTTCCATGTCTAAGTCTTGCTCCTTGGTTAAATTTATTCTTAAAATATTATTACTGTTGTTGTTTTTTTTGTTTTATTTTTTGAGACAGAGTCTTATTCTGTTGCCCAGGCAGGAACGTGGTAATGTGATCATAGCTCACTGCACCTTTGAACACTTTAGCTCAGGTGGTCCTTCCACATTGGCCTCCCAAGTTACTGGAATTACAGGTGTATATGACTACACCCAACCCATTTTTTTTTTTTTTTTGCTGTTTTTAAGGATGAAAAGATGCTTTGCTTTATAATCAA
>NC_000024.10:9107608-9111868 GCF_000001405.40 Homo sapiens
GGGTTAGGGTTTCAAGGTTAGGATTAGGGTTAGGCATTAGGGTTAGTATTTAGGGTAAGGGTGAGGATTAGGTTATTGGATATGGTAAATTGTAGGTTTAGGATTATTGTTAGGGTCAGATGGTTTTGTTTAGGTCTTAAGATTAGGGTTAGTTCTAGGATTTAGGATTAGTCTCAGGGTTTAGTGTTAGGGTTAGGGCTTATTTTTAGTATTTGGGTTTTTATTGAGTTTGACGTTCCGTGTCTTAGTTTTATGGTGAGAGCCTGGGGTTAGGATTAGGTTTAAGTTTAGAATTATTGTATAAGGTCATTATTAGAGTTATGGTGGTGGCAGGGTTAGGCTTTATGGTTTTGGTTATGGTTAGTGTTTAGGTTTAGGTTAAGGGGTTAAGGTTATGTTCAATATTATGATTACAGTTAGGGTTAGCATTATTGGTTAGGGTTAGTGTTAGGTTTATGGTTAGGGTAGATATTTGGGTAACATTAGGGTTAAAGTCACTGTTAGTGGTTAGGCTCAGGGCTAGGGTTTAATTTTAGGTTTAGGTTTAGGGTTGGTCTAAGGATTAGTACTAGAATTATGGATTGGGTTTAGGTAACAAGGTTAGGTTTGGCTTTGGGTTTGAGGTTGGTGTAGGTGTAGGTTTAGGGTAATGTTTAGGGCTAGAATTAGAGTTGTGGGGTTAGCATTAGAGGCTAGTGTTAGTCTTAGGTTAGTGTTAGTGTCAGGTTTGGGATTCAGGTTTAGTGGCTAGGGTAGAATTAAGTGTTAGGGGTTATGGTTAGTGTTAGGGGTAGGATTTTAGTGCTAGTATTAGGTTTTAAGGGAGTATTGGTAGAGATGGGTTAGTTATTGTTTTATGGTTAGGGTTAGTTTTTTGGGGTTAGGGTTTGGGTTTTATGGTTGGGTTTTGGGTTCAGTTCATGGTATGTTTGGGTTGCTGCTGAGTTATGGTTATTATCAGGGTCAGGGTCAGGTTCAGGTGTCAGCATTAGGATTTAGTGTTGGGATTGGGTTTTGGTTTTTGGTTTGTGTGAGGGGTTAGGCATTAAGATTAGGCATAGTGTTGATGTTGGGGTTGAGGTTGGAGTTTAGGCTTGCTGTTAGATCTAGGGTTTTTTGGTTAGGTTTAGGGGTAGGGGTTGGGGTAAGGTTAATGTTACAGTTAGGTTTAGGGTTAGGGTAGTCCTGAAAAACTGGGTACTGCCTCTGGAATCCTGGAAAAATTTTTATATGTACAGTTGTTACAGTTTCTTTTCTCACAGAGGGAGGCTGAGACCCATGAATTCTTAGCCTGGTTCATGTCACCTGGGACCATCGGGCTGAAGGCCGTGTCCACTTCTGTACTTTACAGTCTTGCTTATAGCACACATGAGCTGTGCTTCTCCCTCCAGGCCAGTGTTTATTATGGGCCACCAGAACCAGATTCCCAGGGAATGGGTGTCTCTCTTGTGTAGGAGCTGAGACCAGGTTGGCTCAAGTCAGTTTCCCAGTAAGGACAGAATTGTGGAAGACATAGGATTTGAGGGGGAGCAGTCCCTCAAATAGAAGAAGTAATGATTTTCTCCATGGGAGTATTCCATCCACCACAAGGCCACACCTTGATGAAGCTCATGAAAACATATTCTACTCTGACCCATACTGATCTCTCCCTGGCCACCCTTGGACCACAGATCTGCTTCTGTTACTAAACTTTAGCTGAATTTTATAGAGTTTCAGGTAGATATGGTAAGTCTTTGGGTCTCCGTGTTTTGTTCTGATTTGGCTCCTTTTATTCAGCACTGCTGCTTTGAGAGTCACCCTGTGGTGAGTGCATAAGCAATCCATTCCTTTGCATGCTGAGCCACATTCCAGGGTGTGGATATGCTACAGCTTGTTCACCCTTCTCCTGTGGATGAGGGTTTGGGGCTCTCAGTTGGGACTAGTATACATGGGACTACCATGAACATTTTTTATGTATATAGCCTGTGAACTTGTCTTCATTTCTCATGGTTCATTTTATGAGTACAGTGGCCACATCATGTCCTGGTAGGTATGAACTGACTTTAATAAGGAACCACTGATTCTTGTCCTAAGTGTTTGATCTATTCCCTGCTTTCTCTCCTGCTTCCCCTACTTTAGTCATAATCATCCCTTGTCTCCTTCACACTTCAGTGCAGTAACTTTTTAGCACACTGCCCTTTCTTTACATTTGAAGTCACCAGCTTTTTCTCCATGTGCTTGCTCTGATGCCCTCTCTAAACTTGCATTCTCTGACCTGTGTGTTACACAATCCCCTCCAAAAACCCTACATATGAAAGGATTTTGGGAAAAGATTCTGTTACCTAATGAGTATCAGATACCTACATTGGCTCTGGATGGGGGAAAGAAGACTGGGTGGGTCTTGACACCCATTGTCCCAGAAGATAGAGCTCATCATCGTTGATAAAAAGAAGTCTGGGTGTGTCCTGGATACATGTTCATGTGACTCACAAACTTTTTCTAAATGACACCTGGAGACCTGGCTGTGGGCTGGAAACTGAGTATGAGTCCACTTGGATGCTGTGTGATTACAGGTAAGTCACTCAGTCACCTGATCCTGGCTGTCCCTTTGCACATGGGATGACCCATTTCTTGCAGAGTTGCTGTTAGTTCACCTGAGCAAGACAGCTGCCTGTGGTGGTGCTCAGAAAAAGCTAATTTAAATTTGTTGAAATGGGACAAACCATGGATATTAAGTGTTGAGGTCTGGAGTACAGCAGAAAAAGATTCAGAAGACCTTGTAAACCCTGAGGAGGTATCACTGATCACTGGCTGTCTGTGAAGGCAGCAGAGGAAAAGTGACCTGGGGTTGGAAATGGCCAGTTAGTTGGTCTGTTACAGATAGTTACACAGAAATGAGTGGGGCAGGAGAGGTTTCTCCCCTCCCACCCACCTACCAGGAATGTCAGGTCATTGGGTGATGGTTGGACAGTTTTCATATTGCCTCTCTAAAAATGATAATTTAGCAGCTGGAGCCAGAGAGGTACAAGCTTCTACTGATCCACAGCTGTTAACATTAAAGTGTTAATTAAATGCAGGCACCAGGGAGAAGAAAAAAGGGCTTCCAATAAAATCTCAGTTATTGGGCAAGTGAGCTCAGGCATACACATTAAGAGACAAACCCTCAGCGTATGACTTTCAGAGATCACTTTTTAATAAACGTCCTCTCCTGCTGTGAAACTTCCCTTAGTATCTTTTGCTGCTTTATAGTCCTCAGTCAAAGTCTTTCTTCTGAGAAGGCAAGAATTGTGGTTACTGCAGACCTGGATGGATTCGCCACCAGTAACTCAGATATCTTCCACTGTTAACAGGTCTAGGAGCTGGTGGACAGTGTGGCTGGAGTATGTGTCCAGAATGGGTTTGGCCAGGCTCCAGGCCATTCTGGACTGTGGAGGGACTTGAACCCCAAGGTGATGGCACCCCATGGAGAGAGCTCACCCTGGTTGGAGAATGCTGGGAAAGGAATTTTGTCTTTTTATCGAGGTAAAATTTCCATAACATAAAATTAACTTTCTAGATGAATAATTCAGTGACCTTTAGTACATGCACATTTCTGGGCAACTACCACCTCTTAGTTCCAATTTTTATTATCCCAAAAGGAAATCCCCTACCTACTAAAGAGGTACTTCCCAATCTGTCCTTTTTTTCTGACCCCTAGCAACCAGTAATCTGCTTTTTGTCTCTATCTACTTACCTATTCTGGATATTTATATAAATGAAATCATAGAGTATGTGACCATTTATGTTCAGCTTCTTTAACCAAAATGGTTATGAAGTTCCTCCACATTGTAGTATTAGAGTTGCAATATCTTTTACAGCTCAATATTATGCCATTGTATGGGAATACTAAATTTTGTTTTCTTATTACTTGTTGGTAGACATTTGGTTTGTTTCTACTTTTAGTTATTGTGAATAATGCTGCTATGAACATACGTGTACACGTTTTTGTTTGAATACCCATTTTATGTTCTTTTGTGTATATATCTGGGAGTGGATTTGCTGGGTTCTATGGTAATTCTGTGTTTAGCTTTTTGAAGAAACACCAAACTATTTTCCACAGCAACTGCACAATTTTACATTCACATTTCTCCATTTTCATGTAAATCCTTGTTAGCTTTTCTTTAATAATAGCAATTATAATGGATATGAAGTGACATTTTCCTGCGGCTTTGACTTGTGTTTCCCTGAGGTGAGTGATTTTGAACATATTTTCATGTGCTATTTGTGTATCTTTGGAGAAAA
>NC_000024.10:9112715-9114319 GCF_000001405.40 Homo sapiens
TGTGGTTTTTGGTTAAATGTGAGTTTCCAAAGTTGTTGTCTAAATACTTAAGTCTGCAAATGTTAGCCTATATGGTGAGGCTATGTTTAGCTTTGGAAAAAAAAAACTGCCAAAATTGTGGCAGAAGAAATAATATCTTTTAACTTTGCTGTACAATTATGCATTCCACCAGCAAAGAACAAGCATTCCTTTCACCGTTTTCATTGCATTTAAAAAAATTTTAGACATATTATAATATTATAGATGTTCAGTGCTCTCATTGTTAATTTGCTTTCCCCTGACAGCAAGTGATTTTTGGCATTATTTCATTGTTATTGTTTGTTCATTATTCTATGACTGCTGCCAAAAAGCATGCATGTGCTGTGCCAAAGAGAAAGAATTTTAAAAATATGCACTCTAAGCTCTACCTAGTAAAAACTTAAAAAAAAAATGCTAGTACACATAATCATTTATCCTGTTATTTGTTCTAATTTTATGGTTACTAGAAGGAGATAGTAAACTCTAGCTAATGAGACAATGTGGTGAATTAATCTGATGCGTCATAATATAGAGAACACTTTCAGTCAAGTGATTATTTTACTGGTGTTAAGGGAGCAACAGGAATTCTTTAGCACAAGTTGTTTGTGTGGGATATTTTTCCCTCTCACCCAGGCTGGAATACAACGGTGCAATCTTGGCTCACTGCAACCTCTGCCTCCTGGGTTCATGCAATTCTCCTATCTCAGCCTCCTGAGTAGTTACAATTACAGGAGACTACCACCACACTCATCTATTTTTTTAATTTTATTTTTAGTAGAGACACTGTTTCCCCATATTGGCCAGTGTTGTCTCAGACAATTGACAGGTGATCCACCCTCCTCAGCATTTCAAAGTGCTGGGATTACAGGCATGAGCCACTGTGCCCAGCTGAGTCAGTTATTTTATCCCTTTATGGAGGAAAGTTTGGGTTGAAAACCAACCTTCTAATACTTATAAGTGCCTCAAGGCTGTTAGGATAAAAATAAATCTTCCAACCTAAGGATACTTGGCAGCCTCTAGAACTTTAAGAAAAGCTGAGAAATGAAACATCCAGCTTCCATCTCATTTCAGGAGAGCATCACCAGTGCCTGGGGGACTCTTGGGCCCTGGAGAAAGGGCAGAGCTGGGGTATGTGGGGATAGCCTTTGGAGCCACTGCTGCTCTGGCAGACACTGCTGCTCTTTAGGGGCATGGAACCTCAGCCTTCAGCAGAAGCAGCAGGAGATCAGTGAGCAATGTTTTGTGTGCCTGTTTTCCACCTCCATTATCTTCCTTAAGTGAGGTATCTATTCAGGTATTTTCCTTTTAATTGTGTTATATTCTTCAGTTTTAGAGTTTCTTTGTATATTTTGCATTCAAGTCATTTTTCAGCCTGTGGCTTTTTGGTTCTCTTTGGATCCTATTTCTTTTCCTTTTTTTTTTTTTAGACAGAGTCCTGCCCTGTCACCTTGGCTGGAGTGCAATGGTGTGATCTCAGCCCAGTGCAACCTCTGGCTCTCAGGTTCAAAGGATTCTCCTGCTTCGACCTCAAGAGTACCTGGAATGTCATGTGACTGCCACCACGCCCAGCTAATTTTGTCGTATTT
>NC_000024.10:10594039-10633440 GCF_000001405.40 Homo sapiens
GACACATCACAAAGAAGTTTCTCAGAATGCTTCTGTGTAGTATTTTTGTGAAGATATTTCTTTTCCACCATAGACCGCCAGGGGACACAAATATCCACTTTCAGATTCTACAACAAGAGAGGTTCAAAACTACTCGATCAAGAGATGGTTTCAACTATGTGAGTTGAATGCACACATCACAAAGAACTATGTCGGAATTCTTCTGTGTAGTTTTTATGTGAAGATATTTCCTTTTCCACAATAGACGTCAAAGTGATCCAGATATCCACTTGCAGATTCCACAAAAAGAGTGTTTCAAAAGTGCACAACCAAAAGAAAGGTTCAACTAGGTGAGATGAATGCACACATCAGAAGGAAGTTTCTCAGAATGCTTCTGCATAGCTTTTAAGGGAAGATACTTCCTTTTCCAACATAGGCCTCAAAGCACTCCAAATATCCTCCTGGAGATACCACAAAAAGAGTGTTTGCAAACTGCTCAATCAAAAGAAAGATTTAACTCTGTGAGATGAATCCACACATGACAAAGAAGTTTCTCAGAATGCTTCTGTGTAGTTTTTATGTGAAGATATTTCCTTTTCCACAATAAGACCCAAAAGGCTCCAAATATTCACTTGCAGATTCTAAAAAAAACAGTGTTTCAAAACTGCTCAATCAAAAGATAGTTCAACTCTGTGAGAAGAATGCTCACATCACTGAGAAGTTTCTCAGAATGCTTCTGTGTAGTTTTTATATGAAGATATTTCCTTTCCCACCGTAGGCCACAAAAGGCTCCAAATATCCACTTGCAGATACTATGAAAAGAGAGTTTCAAACTGCTCATCAAAGATAGGTCACTCTGTGGTTTGATGCACACAGCACAAAGAAGTTTCACAAGGAGGATATTTCTTTTTCCACCATGGGCCTCAAGGCACTCCAAATATGCACTTCCAGATTCTACAAAAAGAGTGTTTCAGAACTGCTCAATCAAAAGGAAGGTTCCAGTCTGAGACAAATACACACATCAAAAGGTAGTTTCTCAGAATGCTTCTGTGTAGTTTTTATGTGAAGATATTTTCCTTTCCACCATAGGCCACAAATGGCTCTAAATACCCACTTACATTTTCCACAAAAAGAGAGTTTCAAAACTGCTCTACCAAAGGTAAGTTTAACGCTGTGAGTTAAGAACATCACAAAGAAGTTTCTCAGAATGCTTCTGTGTAGTTCTTACGTAAAGATATTTCCTTTTACACAATAGGCAGAAAAGTGCTCCAAATATCCACTTGAAGATTCTACAAAAACCGTGTTTCAAAACTGCCGAATCAAAAGAAAGGTTCAACTCTGTGAGATGAATACACACATAACAAAGGAGTTTCTCAGAATGCTTCTGTGTAGCTTTTATATGAAGACATTTAGTTTTCCACAACAGGCCTCAAAGCTCTCTCCATATCCACTTGCAGATTCTACCGAAAGAGTGCTTCCAAACTGCTCAATCAAAAGAGACATTCAAATCTGTGAGGTGAATGCAGACATCGTAAAGAAGTTTCTCAGAATGCTTCTGTGTATTTTTTTGTGTGAAGTTATTCGTTTTTGCACCATAGGCCTCCAAGCGTTCTAAATATCCACTTCTAGATTCTACAAAAAGAGAGTTTCAAAACTACTCAAACAAAAGGTTCAATTCTGTGAGTTGAAAGCAAACATCACAAAGAAGTTTCTCAGAATGCGTCTGTGTAGTTTTTATGTGAAGATATTTCCTTTTCACAGTAGAATGCAAAGGGCTCCAAATATCCACTTGGAGATTCTACAAAAAGAGTTTCAAAACCGCTCTGTCAAATGATAGGTTGAACTCCCGGAGGTGAATACACACATCACAAAGAGGTTTCTCAGCATGCTTCTGTGTAGTTTTTATGTAAACATATTTCCGTTTCTATCATAGGCCTCAAAGTGCTCCAAATATTCACTTGTACATTCTACCAAACGAGTATTTCAAAACTGCTCAATCAAATGGAAGGTTCAAAACCGTGACATGAATGCCCACATCACAAAGTAGTTTCTCAGAATGCTTCTGTGTAGTTTTTATGTGAAGATATTTCCTTTTCCACAACAGCGTGCAAAACGCTTCAAATATGCCCTTAGAGATTCCACAAAAAGAGTGTTTCCAAACTACTCAAATCAAAAAATGATTTCAACTCTGTGAGATGAATGCACACATCACAAACTAGTTTCTCAGAATGTTTCTGCCTGGTTCTCATGCGAAGATAGTTCCTTTTTCACCATAGGCCGCAATGTACTCCAAATATCCACCTGCAGATTCTACAAAAGTGAGTTTCAAAACTGCTCTATCAAAAGATCAGTTCGTCTCTGTGAGTTGAATGCATACATCAAAAAGAAGCTTCTCAAAATGCTTCTGTGTGGTTTTTCGGTGAAGATAGTTCTTTTTCTACCATAGGTCTCAAACCACTCCAAATATCCACTTGTAGATTCTATAAAAAGGAATGTTCAAAATTGCTCAATAAAAATAAAGTTTCAACACCGTGAGATGAGTGCACAAATCACAAAGGAGTTTCTCAAAATGCTTCTGGGTAGTTTTTCTGTGAAGATAGTTCCTTTTCTACCATGGGCCACAAAGGGCTCCAAATACCCACTTGCAGATTCTACAAAAAGAGAGTTTCACAACTGCTCTATCAAACAATATGTTCAACTTTGTGGGTTGAACACAAATATCACAAGAATTTTCTCCCAATGCTTCTGTGTAGTTTTTATGTGAAGACATTTCTTTTCCCTCCATAGTCCACAAAGTGCTCCAAATATCCACTTACATATTCTAGAAAAAGATTGCTTGGAAACTGCACAATGAAAAGAAAGGTTCAAATATATGAGATGAATGCACACATCACAAAGAAGTTTCTCAGAATCTCTCTGTGTAATTTTTATGTGAAGATATTTCCTTTCCCACCTTAGGTCTTAAAACGCTCCAAATATCCACTTGCAGATACTACAAGAAGATTGTTTCAAAACTGCACAAAAAAAGAAATGTTCAATTCTGTTTGATGAATGCACACATCACAAAGAAGTTTCTCAGAATGCTTCTCTGTAGTTTTTATGTGAAGATATTTCCTTTTCCACAATAGGCCTCAAAGGGCTCCAAGTATCCACTTCCAGATTCTATGAAAAGAATATTTCCAAACTGCTCAATCATAGGAAATGTTCAACTCTGTGAGATGAATGCACACATCACAAGAAATTTCTCAGAATCCTTCAGTGTAGGTTTTATGAGAAGATAATTCCTTTTCCACAATAGTTCTCAAAGCACTCAAAATATCCACTTGCAGATTCTACAAAAGGAGTATTTCAAAACTGCTCAATCAAAAGAAAGGTTCAACTCTGTGAGATGAATGGACACATCACAAAGAAGTTTCTCAGAATGCTTCTGTGTAGTATTTTTGTGAAGATATTTCTTTTCCACCATAGACCGCCAGGGGACACAAATATCCACTTTCAGATTCTACAACAAGAGAGGTTCAAAACTACTCGATCAAGAGATGGTTTCAACTATGTGAGTTGAATGCACACATCACAAAGAACTATGTCGGAATTCTTCTGTGTAGTATTTATGTGAAGATATTTCCTTTTCCACAATAGACGTCAAAGTGATCCAGATATCCACTTGCAGATTCCACAAAAAGAGTGTTTCAAAAGTGCACAACCAAAAGAAAGGTTCAACTAGGTGAGATGAATGCACACATCAGAAGGAAGTTTCTCAGAATGCTTCTGCATAGCTTTTAAGGGAAGATACTTCCTTTTCCAACATAGGCCTCAAAGCACTCCAAATATCCTCCTGGAGATACCACAAAAAGAGTGTTTGCAAACTGCTCAATCAAAAGAAAGATTTAACTCTGTGAGATGAATCCACACATGACAAAGAAGTTTCTCAGAATGCTTCTGTGTAGTTTTTATGTGAAGATATTTCCTTTTCCACAATAAGACCCAAAAGGCTCCAAATATTCACTTGCAGATTCTAAAAAAAACAGTGTTTCAAAACTGCTCAATCAAAAGATAGTTCAACTCTGTGAGAAGAATGCTCACATCACTGAGAAGTTTCTCAGAATGCTTCTGTGTAGTTTTTATATGAAGATATTTCCTTTCCCACCGTAGCCACAAAAGGCTCCAATATCCACTTGCAGATACTATGAAAAGAGAGTTTCAAAACTGCTCATTCAAAAGATAGGTTCAACTCTGTGGTTTGAAGGCACACAGCACAAAGAAGTTTCACAGAATGTGTCTGTGTAGTTTTTATGTGCGGATGTTTCCTTTTCCACCATATGCCTAAATATTTCCCAATTTCCACTTGCAGATTCCACAAGAAGAGTGTTTCAAAACTGCTGTATCAAATAAAGTTGAACTCTGTGAGGTGAATGCACACAGCACAAAATGGTTTCTCAGAATGCTTCCTTGTTGTTTTTATATGAAGATGTTTCCTTTTCAACAATAGGCCTCAAAGTGCTTCAAATGTCCACTTGCAGATTCTACAAAAAGAGTGTTTCAAAACTGCTCAATCAAAAGAAAGGTTCGACTCTGGGAAATTAATGCACACATCACAAAGAAGTTTCTCAGCTTCTGTGTAGTTTTCATGTGAAGTTATTTCCTTTTCCACAATAGGCCGCAAAGGGCTCCAAATATCAACTTACAGATTCTAGGAAAAGAGAGTTTCAAAACTGCTCTATGAAAAGATAGGTTGAACTCTGTGAGATGAATGCACACATCACAAAGAAGTTTCTCAGAATGCATCTGTGTAGTTTTTACGGGAAGATATTTCCTTTTCCACCATCTTCCACAAAGGTCTCCAAGTAACCACTTGCAGACTCTACAGAAAGACACTTTAAAAACTGCTCTATCAAAAGATCAGTTCAAGTCTGTGGTTTGAATGCACACATCACAAAGAATTTTCTCAGAATGCTTCTGTGTAGTTTTCATATGAAGATATTTCCTTTTCCACCATAGGCCTCAAAGCACTCCAAATATCCACTTGCAGATTCTACAAAAAGAGATTTTCAAAACTAGTCAATCAAAAGAAAGGTTCAACTCTGTCAGTTGAATGCACATATCACAAACAAGTTTCTCGGAATGCGTCTGTGTAGTTTTTATGTGAAGATATTTCCTTCTCCACAACAGGCCTCAAAGTGCTCCGAATATCCACTTGCAGATTTTACTAAAGAGTGTTTCCAAACTGCTCAATCAAGAGGAAGTTTCAAGTCTGTGAGCTGAACGCACACATCACAAAGTAGTTTCTGAGAATGCTTCTGTGTAGTTTTTATGTGAAGATGTTTCCTTTTCCACCATAGGCTGCAAAGGGCTCCAAATATCCACTTGCAGATTCTACAAAAAGAGAGTTTCAAAAGTGCTCTATCAAAAGATAGGTTCAACTATGTGATATGAATGCACACATCACAAAGTAGTTTCTCAGAATGCTTCTGTGTAGTTTTTATGTAAAGATATTTCCTTTTCCACCATAGGCCTCAAAGCACTCCAAATATCCACTTGCAGATTCTACAGAAAGACACTTTAAAAACTGCTCTATCAAAAGATCAGTTCAAGTCTGTGGTTTGAATGCACACATCACAAAGAATTTTCTCAGAATGCTTCTGTGTAGTTTTCATATGAAGATATTTCCTTTTCCACCATAGGCCTCAAAGCACTCCAAATATCCACTTGCAGATTCTACAAAAAGAGATTTTCAAAACTATTTAATCAAAAGAAAGGTTCAAATCTGTCAGTTGAAGGTACATATCACAAACAAGTTTATTGGAATGCTTCTGTGTAGTTTTTATGTGAAGATATTTCCTTTTCCACAACAGGCCTCAAGGTGCTCCAAATATCCACTTGCAGATTTCACTAAAAGTGTGTTTCCAAGCTGCTCAATCAAGAGGAAGTTTCAAGTCTGTGAGGTGAATGCACACATTACAAAGAAGTTACTGAGAATGCTTCTGTGTAGTTTTTATGTGAAGATATTTCCTTTTCCACCACAGGCCTCAAAGCGCTGCAAATATCCACTTGCAGATTCTACAAAAAGAGAGTTTCAAAACTGCTGTATCAAAAGATAGGGTCAACTCTGCGAGTTGAATAAACACATCACAAATAAGTTTCTGGGAACGCTTCTGTATAGTTTTATGTGAATATATTTCCTTTTCCACCATATGCCTCAAAGCACTCCAAATATCCACTTGCACATTATAGAAACATAGTCTTTCAAAACTTGTCAATCAAAGAAAGGTTCAACTCCGTGAGATGAGTGCACACATCACAGAGAAGTTTCTCGGAATGTTTCTGTGTAGTTTTTATGTGAAGATATTGCCTTTTCCACAATAGGCCTCAAAGCGTTCCAAATATCCAATTGCAGATTCCACAAAAAAAGTTTTTTAAAACTGCTCAATCAAATGATAGATTAAACTCTGTGAGATTAGTGCACACATGTCAAAAAAGTTTCTCAGAATGCTTCTGTGTACTTTTTAGGGGAAGATATTTCCTTTTCCACCATCGGCCACAAAGGACTCCAAATAACCACATGCAGATTCTAGTAACACAGAGTTTCAAAACTGCTCTATCAAAAGATAAGTTCAACTCTGAGAGTTTAGTGCAACCATCGTGAAGAAGTTTCTCAGAATGCTTCTGAGTAGTGTTTATGTGAAGATATTTCCTTTTCCACCATAGGCCTGAAAGCCCTCCAAATATCCACTTGCAGATCCTACAAAAAGAAAGTTTCGAAATGCTCTCTCAAACGATAGTTTCGACTCTGTGGTATGAATACACACATCACAAAGAAGTTTCTCAGAATGCTTCTGTGTAGTTTTTAAATGAAGATATTTCTTTTTCCACCATAGGCCTCAAAGCACTCCAAATATGCACTTCCAGATTCTACAAAAAGAGTGTTTCAGAACTGCTCAATCAAAAGGAAGGTTCCAGTCTGAGACAAATACACACATCAAAAGGTAGTTTCTCAGAATGCTTCTGTGTAGTTTTTATGTGAAGATATTTTCCTTTCCACCATAGGCCACAAATGGCTCTAAATACCCACTTACATTTTCCACAAAAAGAGAGTTTCAAAACTGCTCTACCAAAGGTAAGTTTAACGCTGTGAGTTAAGAACATCACAAAGAAGTTTCTCAGAATGCTTCTGTGTAGTTCTTACGTAAAGATATTTCCTTTTACACAATAGGCAGAAAAGTGCTCCAAATATCCACTTGAAGATTCTACAAAAACCGTGTTTCAAAACTGCCGAATCAAAAGAAAGGTTCAACTCTGTGAGATGAATGCACACATAACAAAGGAGTTTCTCAGAATGCTTCTGTGTAGCTTTTATATGAAGACATTTAGTTTTCCACAACAGGCCTCAAAGCTCTCTCCATATCCACTTGCAGATTCTACCGAAAGAGTGCTTCCAAACTGCTCAATCAAAAGAGACATTCAAATCTGTGAGGTGAATGCAGACATCGTAAAGAAGTTTCTCAGAATGCTTCTGTGTATTTTTTGTGTGAAGTTATTCGTTTTTGCACCATAGGCCTCCAAGCGTTCTAAATATCCACTTCTAGATTCTACAAAAAGAGAGTTTCAAAACTACTCAAACAAAAGGTTCAATTCTGTGAGTTGAAAGCAAACATCACAAAGAAGTTTCTCAGAATGCGTCTGTGTAGTTTTGATGTGAAGATATTTCCTTTTCACAATAGAATGCAAAGGGCTCCAAATATCCACTTGGAGATTCTACAAAAAGAGTTTCAAAACCGCTCTGTCAAATGATAGGTTGAACTCCCGGAGGTGAATACACACATCACAAAGAGGTTTCTCAGCATGCTTCTGTGTAGTTTTTATGTAAACATATTTCCGTTTCTATCATAGGCCTCAAAGTGCTCCAAATATTCACTTGTACATTCTACCAAACGAGTATTTCAAAACTGCTCAATCAAATGGAAGGTTCAAAACTGTGACATGAATGCCCACATCACAAAGTAGTTTCTCAGAATGCTTCTGTGTAGTTTTTATGTGAAGATATTTCCTTTTCCACAACAGCGTGCAAAACGCTTCAAATATGCCCTTAGAGATTCCACAAAAAGAGTGTTTCCAAACTACTCAAATCAAAAAATGATTTCAACTCTGTGAGATGAATGCACACATCACAAACTAGTTTCTCAGAATGTTTCTGCCTGGTTCTCATGCGAAGATAGTTCCTTTTTCACCATAGACCGCAATGTACTCCAAATATCCACCTGCAGATTCTACAAAAGTGAGTTTCAAAACTGCTCTATCAAAAGATCAGTTCGTCTCTGTGAGTTGAATGCATACATCAAAAAGAAGCTTCTCAAAATGCTTCTGTGTGGTTTTTCGGTGAAGATAGTTCTTTTTCTACCATAGGTCTCAAACCACTCCAAATATCCACTTGTAGATTCTATAAAAAGGAATGTTCAAAATTGCTCAATAAAAATAAAGTTTCAACACCGTGAGATGAGTGCACAAATCACAAAGAAGTTTCTCAAAATGCTTCTGGGTAGTTTTTCTGTGAAGATAGTTCCTTTTCTACCATGGGCCACAAAGGGCTCCAAATACCCACTTGCAGATTCTACAAAAAGAGAGTTTCACAACTGCTCTATCAAACAATATGTTCAACTTTGTGGGTTGAACACAAATATCACAAGAATTTTCTCCCAATGCTTCTGTGTAGTTTTTATGTGAAGACATTTCTTTTCCCTCCATAGTCCACAAAGTGCTCCAAATATCCACTTACATATTCTAGAAAAAGATTGCTTGGAAACTGCACAATGAAAAGAAAGGTTCAAATATATGAGATGAATGCACACATCACAAAGAAGTTTCTCAGAATCTCTCTGTGTAATTTTTATGTGAAGATATTTCCTTTCCCACCTTAGGTCTTAAAACGCTCCAAATATCCACTTGCAGATACTACAAGAAGATTGTTTCAAAACTGCACAAAAAAAGAAATGTTCAATTCTGTTTGATGAATGCACACATCACAAAGAAGTTTCTCAGAATGCTTCTCTGTAGTTTTTATGTGAAGATATTTCCTTTTCCACAATAGGCCTCAAAGGGCTCCAAATATCCACTTCCAGATTCTATGAAAAGAATATTTCCAAACTGCTCAATCATAGGAAATGTTCAACTCTGTGAGATGAATGCACACATCACAAGAAATTTCTCAGAATCCTTCAGTGTAGGTTTTATGAGAAGATAATTCCTTTTCCACAATAGTTCTCAAAGCACTCAAAATATCCACTTGCAGATTCTACAAAAGGAGTATTTCAAAACTGCTCAATCAAAAGAAAGGTTCAACTCTGTGAGATGAATGGACACATCACAAAGAAGTTTCTCAGAATGCTTCTGTGTAGTATTTTTGTGAAGATATTTCTTTTCCACCATAGACCGCCAGGGGACACAAATATCCACTTTCAGATTCTACAACAAGAGAGGTTCAAAACTACTCGATCAAGAGATGGTTTCAACTATGTGAGTTGAATGCACACATCACAAAGAACTATGTCGGAATTCTTCTGTGTAGTTTTTATGTGAAGATATTTCCTTTTCCACAATAGACGTCAAAGTGATCCAGATATCCACTTGCAGATTCCACAAAAAGAGTGTTTCAAAAGTGCACAACCAAAAGAAAGGTTCAACTAGGTGAGATGAATGCACACATCAGAAGGAAGTTTCTCAGAATGCTTCTGCATAGCTTTTAAGGGAAGATACTTCCTTTTCCAACATAGGCCTCAAAGCACTCCAAATATCCTCCTGGAGATACCACAAAAAGAGTGTTTGCAAACTGCTCAATCAAAAGAAAGATTTAACTCTGTGAGATGAATCCACACATGACAAAGAAGTTTCTCAGAATGCTTCTGTGTAGTTTTTATGTGAAGATATTTCCTTTTCCACAATAAGACCCAAAAGGCTCCAAATATTCACTTGCAGATTCTAAAAAAAACAGTGTTTCAAAACTGCTCAATCAAAAGATAGTTCAACTCTGTGAGAAGAATGCTCACATCACTGAGAAGTTTCTCAGAATGCTTCTGTGTAGTTTTTATGTGAAGATATTTCCTTTTCCACAATAAGACCCAAAAGGCTCCAAATATTCACTTGCAGATTCTAAAAAAAACAGTGTTTCAAAACTGCTCAATCAAAAGATAGTTCAACTCTGTGAGAAGAATGCTCACATCACTGAGAAGTTTCTCAGAATGCTTCTGTGTAGTTTTTATATGAAGATATTTCCTTTCCCACCATAGGCCACAAAAGGCTCCAAATATCCACTTGCAGATACTATGAAAAGAGAGTTTCAAAACTGCTCATTCAAAAGATAGGTTCAACTCTGTGGTTTGAATGCACACAGCACAAAGAAGTTTCACAGAATGTGTCTGTGTAGTTTTTATGTGCGGATGTTTCCTTTTCCACCATATGCCTAAATATTTCCCAATTTCCACTTGCAGATTCTACAAGAAGAGTGTTTCAAAACTGCTGTATCAAATAAAGTTGAACTCTGTGAGGTGAATGCACACAGCACAAAATGGTTTCTCAGAATGCTTCCTTGTTTTTATATGAAGATGTTTCCTTTTCAACAATAGGCCTCAAAGTGCTTCAAATGTCCACTTGCAGATTCTACAAAAAGAGTGTTTCAAAACTGCTCAATCAAAAGAAAGGTTCGACTCTGGGAAATTAATGCACACATCACAAAGAAGTTTCTCAGCTTCTGTGTAGTTTTCATGTGAAGTTATTTCCTTTTCCACAATAGGCCGCAAAGGGCTCCAAATATCAACTTACAGATTCTAGGAAAAGAGAGTTTCAAAACTGCTCTACGAAAAGATAGGTTGAACTCTGTGAGATGAATGCACACATCACAAAGAAGTTTCTCAGAATGCATCTGTGTAGTTTTTACGGGAAGACATTTCCTTTTCCACCATCTTCCACAAAGGTCTCCAAGTAACCACTTGCAGATTCTACAGAAAGACACTTTAAAAACTGCTCTATCAAAAGATCAGTTCAAGTCTGTGGTTTGAATGCACACATCACAAAGAATTTTCTCAGAATGCTTCTGTGTAGTTTTCATATGAAGATATTTCCTTTTCCACCATAGGCCTCAAAGCACTCCAAATATCCACTTGCAGATTCTACAAAAAGAGATTTTCAAAACTAGTCAATCAAAAGAAAGGTTCAACTCTGTCAGTTGAATGCACATATCACAAACAAGTTTCTCGGAATGCGTCTGTGTAGTTTTTATGTGAAGATATTTCCTTCTCCACAACAGGCCTCAAAGTGCTCCGAATATCCACTTGCAGATTTTACTAAAGAGTGTTTCCAAACTGCTCAATCAAGAGGAAGTTTCAAGTCTGTGAGCTGAACGCACACATCACAAAGTAGTTTCTGAGAATGCTTCTGTGTAGTTTTTATGTGAAGATGTTTCCTTTTCCACCATAGGCTGCAAAGGGCTCCAAATATCCACTTGCAGATTCTACAAAAAGAGAGTTTCAAAAGTGCTCTATCAAAAGATAGGTTCAACTATGTGATATGAATGCACACATCACAAAGTAGTTTCTCAGAATGCTTCTGTGTAGTTTTTATGTAAAGATATTTCCTTTTCCACCATAGGCCTCAAAGCACTCCAAATATCCACTTGCAGATTCTACAAAAAGAGATTTTCAAAACTATTTAATCAAAAGAAAGGTTCAAATCTGTCAGTTGAAGGTACATATCACAAACAAGTTTATTGGAATGCTTCTGTGTAGTTTTTATGTGAAGATATTTCCTTTTCCACAACAGGCCTCAAGGTGCTCCAAATATCCACTTGCAGATTTCACTAAAAGTGTGTTTCCAAGCTGCTCAATCAAGAGGAAGTTTCAAGTCTGTGAGGTGAATGCACACATTACAAAGAAGTTACTGAGAATGCTTCTGTGTAGTTTTTATGTGAAGATATTTCCTTTTCCACCGCAGGCCTCAAAGCGCTGCAAATATCCACTTGCAGATTCTACAAAAAGAGAGTTTCAAAACTGCTGTATCAAAAGATAGGGTCAACTCTGCGAGTTGAATAAGCACATCACAAATAAGTTTCTGGGAACGCTTCTGTATAGTTTTATGTGAATATATTTCCTTTTCCACCATATGCCTCAAAGCACTCCAAATATCCACTTGCACATTATAGAAACATAGTCTTTCAAAACTTGTCAATCAAAGAAAGGTTCAACTCCGTGAGATGAGTGCACACATCACAGAGAAGTTTCTCGGAATGTTTCTGTGTAGTTTTTATGTGAAGATATTGCCTTTTCCACAATAGGCCTCAAAGCGTTCCAAATATCCAATTGCAGATTCCACAAAAAAAGTTTTTTAAAACTGCTCAATCAAATGATAGATTAAACTCTGTGAGATTAGTGCACACATGTCAAAAAAGTTTCTCAGAATGCTTCTGTGTACTTTTTAGGGGAAGATATTTCCTTTTCCACCATCGGCCACAAAGGACTCCAAATAACCACATGCAGATTCTAGTAACACAGAGTTTCAAAACTGCTCTATCAAAAGATAAGTTCAACTCTGAGAGTTTAGTGCAACCATCGTGAAGAAGTTTCTCAGAATGCTTCTGAGTAGTGTTTATGTGAAGATATTTCCTTTTCCACCATAGGCCTGAAAGCCCTCCAAATATCCACTTGCAGATCCTACAAAAAGAAAGTTTCGAAATGCTCTCTCAAACGATAGTTTCGACTCTGTGGTATGAATACACACACACATCACAAAGAAGTTTCTCAGAATGCTTCTGTGTAGTTTTTAAATGAAGATATTTCTTTTTCCACCATAGGCCTCAAAGCACTCCAAATATGCACTTCCAGATTCTACAAAAAGAGTGTTTCAGAACTGCTCAATCAAAAGGAAGGTTCCAGTCTGAGACAAATACACACATCAAAAGGTAGTTTCTCAGAATGCTTCTGTGTAGTTTTTATGTGAAGATATTTTCCTTTCCACCATAGGCCACAAATGGCTCTAAATACCCACTTACATTTTCCACAAAAAGAGAGTTTCAAAACTGCTCTACCAAAGGTAAGTTTAACGCTGTGAGTTAAGAACATCACAAAGAAGTTTCTCAGAATGCTTCTGTGTAGTTCTTACGTAAAGATATTTCCTTTTACACAATAGGCAGAAAAGTGCTCCAAATATCCACTTGAAGATTCTACAAAAACCGTGTTTCAAAACTGCCGAATCAAAAGAAAGGTTCAACTCTGTGAGATGAATGCACACATAACAAAGGAGTTTCTCAGAATGCTTCTGTGTAGCTTTTATATGAAGACATTTAGTTTTCCACAACAGGCCTCAAAGCTCTCTCCATATCCACTTGCAGATTCTACCGAAAGAGTGCTTCCAAACTGCTCAATCAAAAGAGACATTCAAATCTGTGAGGTGAATGCAGACATCGTAAAGAAGTTTCTCAGAATGCTTCTGTGTATTTTTTGTGTGAAGTTATTCGTTTTTGCACCATAGGCCTCCAAGCGTTCTAAATATCCACTTCTAGATTCTACAAAAAGAGAGTTTCAAAACTACTCAAACAAAAGGTTCAATTCTGTGAGTTGAAAGCAAACATCACAAAGAAGTTTCTCAGAATGCGTCTGTGTAGTTTTGATGTGAAGATATTTCCTTTTCACAGTAGAATGCAAAGGGCTCCAAATATCCACTTGGAGATTCTACAAAAAGAGTTTCAAAACCGCTCTGTCAAATGATAGGTTGAACTCCCGGAGGTGAATACACACATCACAAAGAGGTTTCTCAGCATGCTTCTGTGTAGTTTTTATGTAAACATATTTCCGTTTCTATCATAGGCCTCAAAGTGCTCCAAATATTCACTTGTACATTCTACCAAACGAGTATTTCAAAACTGCTCAATCAAATGGAAGGTTCAAAACCGTGACATGAATGCCCACATCACAAAGTAGTTTCTCAGAATGCTTCTGTGTAGTTTTTATGTGAAGATATTTCCTTTTCCACAACAGCGTGCAAAACGCTTCAAATATGCCCTTAGAGATTCCACAAAAAGAGTGTTTCCAAACTACTCAAATCAAAAAATGATTTCAACTCTGTGAGATGAATGCACACATCACAAACTAGTTTCTCAGAATGTTTCTGCCTGGTTCTCATGCGAAGATAGTTCCTTTTTCACCATAGGCCGCAATGTACTCCAAATATCCACCTGCAGATTCTACAAAAGTGAGTTTCAAAACTGCTCTATCAAAAGATCAGTTCGTCTCTGTGAGTTGAATGCATACATCAAAAAGAAGCTTCTCAAAATGCTTCTGTGTGGTTTTTCGGTGAAGATAGTTCTTTTTCTACCATAGGTCTCAAACCACTCCAAATATCCACTTGTAGATTCTATAAAAAGGAATGTTCAAAATTGCTCAATAAAAATAAAGTTTCAACACCGTGAGATGAGTGCACAAATCACAAAGGAGTTTCTCAAAATGCTTCTGGGTAGTTTTTCTGTGAAGATAGTTCCTTTTCTACCATGGGCCACAAAGGGCTCCAAATACCCACTTGCAGATTCTACAAAAAGAGAGTTTCACAACTGCTCTATCAAACAATATGTTCAACTTTGTGGGTTGAACACAAATATCACAAGAATTTTCTCCCAATGCTTCTGTGTAGTTTTTATGTGAAGACATTTCTTTTCCCTCCATAGTCCACAAAGTGCTCCAAATATCCACTTACATATTCTAGAAAAAGATTGCTTGGAAACTGCACAATGAAAAGAAAGGTTCAAATATATGAGATGAATGCACACATCACAAAGAAGTTTCTCAGAATCTCTCTGTGTAATTTTTATGTGAAGATATTTCCTTTCCCACCTTAGGTCTTAAAACGCTCCAAATATCCACTTGCAGATACTACAAGAAGATTGTTTCAAAACTGCACAAAAAAAGAAATGTTCAATTCTGTTTGATGAATGCACACATCACAAAGAAGTTTCTCAGAATGCTTCTCTGTAGTTTTTATGTGAAGATATTTCCTTTTCCACAATAGGCCTCAAAGGGCTCCAAATATCCACTTCCAGATTCTATGAAAAGAATATTTCCAAACTGCTCAATCATAGGAAATGTTCAACTCTGTGAGATGAATGCACACATCACAAGAAATTTCTCAGAATCCTTCAGTGTAGGTTTTATGAGAAGATAATTCCTTTTCCACAATAGTTCTCAAAGCACTCAAAATATCCACTTGCAGATTCTACAAAAGGAGTATTTCAAAACTGCTCAATCAAAAGAAAGGTTCAACTCTGTGAGATGAATGGACACATCACAAAGAAGTTTCTCAGAATGCTTCTGTGTAGTATTTTTGTGAAGATATTTCTTTTCCACCATAGACCGCCAGGGGACACAAATATCCACTTTCAGATTCTACAACAAGAGAGGTTCAAAACTACTCGATCAAGAGATGGTTTCAACTATGTGAGTTGAATGCACACATCACAAAGAACTATGTCGGAATTCTTCTGTGTAGTATTTATGTGAAGATATTTCCTTTTCCACAATAGACGTCAAAGTGATCCAGATATCCACTTGCAGATTCCACAAAAAGAGTGTTTCAAAAGTGCACAACCAAAAGAAAGGTTCAACTAGGTGAGATGAATGCACACATCAGAAGGAAGTTTCTCAGAATGCTTCTGCATAGCTTTTAAGGGAAGATACTTCCTTTTCCAACATAGGCCTCAAAGCACTCCAAATATCCTCCTGGAGATACCACAAAAAGAGTGTTTGCAAACTGCTCAATCAAAAGAAAGATTTAACTCTGTGAGATGAATCCACACATGACAAAGAAGTTTCTCAGAATGCTTCTGTGTAGTTTTTATGTGAAGATATTTCCTTTTCCACAATAAGACCCAAAAGGCTCCAAATATTCACTTGCAGATTCTAAAAAAAACAGTGTTTCAAAACTGCTCAATCAAAAGAAAGTTTCACCTCTGTGAGAAGAATGCTCACATCACTGAGAAGTTTCTCAGAATGCTTCTGTGTAGTTTTTATGTGAAGATATTTCCTTTTCCACAATAAGACCCAAAAGGCTCCAAATATTCACTTGCAGATTCTAAAAAAAACAGTGTTTCAAAACTGCTCAATCAAAAGAAAGGTTCAACTCTGTGAGAAGAATGCTCACATCACTGAGAAGTTTCTCAGAATGCTTCTGTGTAGTTTTTATATGAAGATATTTCCTTTCCCACCGTAGGCCACAAAAGGCTCCAAATATCCACTTGCAGATACTATGAAAAGAGAGTTTCAAAACTGCTCATTCAAAAGATAGGTTCAACTCTGTGGTTTGAATGCACACAGCACAAAGAAGTTTCACAGAATGTGTCTGTGTAGTTTTTATGTGCGGATGTTTCCTTTTCCACCATATGCCTAAATATTTCCCAATTTCCACTTGCAGATTCTACAAGAAGAGTGTTTCAAAACTGCTGTATCAAATAAAGTTGAACTCTGTGAGGTGAATGCACACAGCACAAAATGGTTTCTCAGAATGCTTCCTTGTTGTTTTTATATGAAGATGTTTCCTTTTCAACAATAGGCCTCAAAGTGCTTCAAATGTCCACTTGCAGATTCTACAAAAAGAGTGTTTCAAAACTGCTCAATCAAAAGAAAGGTTCGACTCTGGGAAATTAATGCACACATCACAAAGAAGTTTCTCAGCTTCTGTGTAGTTTTCATGTGAAGTTATTTCCTTTTCCACAATAGGCCGCAAAGGGCTCCAAATATCAACTTACAGATTCTAGGAAAAGAGAGTTTCAAAACTGCTCTACGAAAAGATAGGTTGAACTCTGTGAGATGAATGCACACATCACAAAGAAGTTTCTCAGAATGCATCTGTGTAGTTTTTACGGGAAGACATTTCCTTTTCCACCATCTTCCACAAAGGTCTCCAAGTAACCACTTGCAGATTCTACAGAAAGACACTTTAAAAACTGCTCTATCAAAAGATCAGTTCAAGTCTGTGGTTTGAATGCACACATCACAAAGAATTTTCTCAGAATGCTTCTGTGTAGTTTTCATATGAAGATATTTCCTTTTCCACCATAGGCCTCAAAGCACTCCAAATATCCACTTGCAGATTCTACAAAAAGAGATTTTCAAAACTAGTCAATCAAAAGAAAGGTTCAACTCTGTCAGTTGAATGCACATATCACAAACAAGTTTCTCGGAATGCGTCTGTGTAGTTTTTATGTGAAGATATTTCCTTCTCCACAACAGGCCTCAAAGTGCTCCGAATATCCACTTGCAGATTTTACTAAAGAGTGTTTCCAAACTGCTCAATCAAGAGGAAGTTTCAAGTCTGTGAGCTGAACGCACACATCACAAAGTAGTTTCTGAGAAGGCTTCTGTGTAGTTTTTATGTGAAGATGTTTCCTTTTCCACCATAGGCTGCAAAGGGCTCCAAATATCCACTTGCAGATTCTACAAAAAGAGAGTCTCAAAAGTGCTCTATCAAAAGATAGGTTCAACTATGTGATATGAATGCACACATCACAAAGTAGTTTCTCAGAATGCTTCTGTGTAGTTTTTATGTAAAGATATTTCCTTTTCCACCATAGGCCTCAAAGCACTCCAAATATCCACTTGCAGATTCTACAAAAAGAGATGTTCAAAACTATTTAATCAAAAGAAAGGTTCAAATCTGTCAGTTGAAGGTACATATCACAAACAAGTTTATTGGAATGCTTCTGTGTAGTTTTTATGTGAAGATATTTCCTTTTCCACAACAGGCCTCAAGGTGCTCCAAATATCCACTTGCAGATTTCACTAAAAGTGTGTTTCCAAGCTGCTCAATCAAGAGGAAGTTTCAAGTCTGTGAGGTGAATGCACACATTACAAAGAAGTTACTGAGAATGCTTCTGTGTAGTTTTTATGTGAAGATATTTCCTTTTCCACCGCAGGCCTCAAAGCGCTGCAAATATCCACTTGCAGATTCTACAAAAAGAGAGTTTCAAAACTGCTGTATCAAAAGATAGGGTCAACTCTGCGAGTTGAATAAACACATCACAAATAAGTTTCTGGGAACGCTTCTGTATAGTTTTATGTGAATATATTTCCTTTTCCACCATATGCCTCAAAGCACTCCAAATATCCACTTGCACATTATAGAAACATAGTCTTTCAAAACTTGTCAATCAAAGAAAGGTTCAACTCCGTGAGATGAGTGCACACATCACAGAGAAGTTTCTCGGAATGTTTCTGTGTAGTTTTTATGTGAAGATATTGCCTTTTCCACAATAGGCCTCAAAGCGTTCCAAATGTCCAATTGCAGATTCCACAAAAAAAGTTTTTTAAAACTGCTCAATCAAATGATAGATTAAACTCTGTGAGATTAGTGCACACATGTCAAAAAAGTTTCTCAGAATGCTTCTGTGTACTTTTTAGGGGAAGATATTTCCTTTTCCACCATCGGCCACAAAGGACTCCAAATAACCACATGCAGATTCTAGTAACACAGAGTTTCAAAACTGCTCTATCAAAAGATAAGTTCAACTCTGAGAGTTTAGTGCAACCATCGTGAAGAAGTTTCTCAGAATGCTTCTGAGTAGTGTTTATGTGAAGATATTTCCTTTTCCACCATAGGCCTGAAAGCCCTCCAAATATCCA
Source organism: Homo sapiens (assembly GCF_000001405.40). Taxonomy (NCBI): domain Eukaryota; kingdom Metazoa; phylum Chordata; class Mammalia; order Primates; family Hominidae; genus Homo; species Homo sapiens. The sequence continues at coordinate 10,612,663 of NC_000024.10, forward strand.
CTTGCAGATCCTACAAAAAGAAAGTTTCGAAATGCTCTCTCAAACGATAGTTTCGACTCTGTGGTATGAATACACACATCACAAAGAAGTTTCTCAGAATGCTTCTGTGTAGTTTTTAAATGAAGATATTTCTTTTTCCACCATAGGCCTCAAAGCACTCCAAATATGCACTTCCAGATTCTACAAAAAGAGTGTTTCAGAACTGCTCAATCAAAAGGAAGGTTCCAGTCTGAGACAAATACACACATCAAAAGGTAGTTTCTCAGAATGCTTCTGTGTAGTTTTTATGTGAAGATATTTTCCTTTCCACCATAGGCCACAAATGGCTCTAAATACCCACTTACATTTTCCACAAAAAGAGAGTTTCAAAACTGCTCTACCAAAGGTAAGTTTAACGCTGTGAGTTAAGAACATCACAAAGAAGTTTCTCAGAATGCTTCTGTGTAGTTCTTACGTAAAGATATTTCCTTTTACACAATAGGCAGAAAAGTGCTCCAAATATCCACTTGAAGATTCTACAAAAACCGTGTTTCAAAACTGCCGAATCAAAAGAAAGGTTCAACTCTGTGAGATGAATGCACACATAACAAAGGAGTTTCTCAGAATGCTTCTGTGTAGCTTTTATATGAAGACATTTAGTTTTCCACAACAGGCCTCAAAGCTCTCTCCATATCCACTTGCAGATTCTACCGAAAGAGTGCTTCCAAACTGCTCAATCAAAAGAGACATTCAAATCTGTGAGGTGAATGCAGACATCGTAAAGAAGTTTCTCAGAATGCTTCTGTGTATTTTTTGTGTGAAGTTATTCGTTTTTGCACCATAGGCCTCCAAGCGTTCTAAATATCCACTTCTAGATTCTACAAAAAGAGAGTTTCAAAACTACTCAAACAAAAGGTTCAATTCTGTGAGTTGAAAGCAAACATCACAAAGAAGTTTCTCAGAATGCGTCTGTGTAGTTTTGATGTGAAGATATTTCCTTTTCACAGTAGAATGCAAAGGGCTCCAAATATCCACTTGGAGATTCTACAAAAAGAGTTTCAAAACCGCTCTGTCAAATGATAGGTTGAACTCCCGGAGGTGAATACACACATCACAAAGAGGTTTCTCAGCATGCTTCTGTGTAGTTTTTATGTAAACATATTTCCGTTTCTATCATAGGCCTCAAAGTGCTCCAAATATTCACTTGTACATTCTACCAAACGAGTATTTCAAAACTGCTCAATCAAATGGAAGGTTCAAAACTGTGACATGAATGCCCACATCACAAAGTAGTTTCTCAGAATGCTTCTGTGTAGTTTTTATGTGAAGATATTTCCTTTTCCACAACAGCGTGCAAAACGCTTCAAATATGCCCTTAGAGATTCCACAAAAAGAGTGTTTCCAAACTACTCAAATCAAAAAATGATTTCAACTCTGTGAGATGAATGCACACATCACAAACTAGTTTCTCAGAATGTTTCTGCCTGGTTCTCATGCGAAGATAGTTCCTTTTTCACCATAGGCCGCAATGTACTCCAAATATCCACCTGCAGATTCTACAAAAGTGAGTTTCAAAACTGCTCTATCAAAAGATCAGTTCGTCTCTGTGAGTTGAATGCATACATCAAAAAGAAGCTTCTCAAAATGCTTCTGTGTGGTTTTTCGGTGAAGATAGTTCTTTTTCTACCATAGGTCTCAAACCACTCCAAATATCCACTTGTAGATTCTATAAAAAGGAATGTTCAAAATTGCTCAATAAAAATAAAGTTTCAACACCGTGAGATGAGTGCACAAATCACAAAGAAGTTTCTCAAAATGCTTCTGGGTAGTTTTTCTGTGAAGATAGTTCCTTTTCTACCATGGGCCACAAAGGGCTCCAAATACCCACTTGCAGATTCTACAAAAAGAGAGTTTCACAACTGCTCTATCAAACAATATGTTCAACTTTGTGGGTTGAACACAAATATCACAAGAATTTTCTCCCAATGCTTCTGTGTAGTTTTTATGTGAAGACATTTCTTTTCCCTCCATAGTCCACAAAGTGCTCCAAATATCCACTTACATATTCTAGAAAAAGATTGCTTGGAAACTGCACAATGAAAAGAAAGGTTCAAATATATGAGATGAATGCACACATCACAAAGAAGTTTCTCAGAATCTCTCTGTGTAATTTTTATGTGAAGATATTTCCTTTCCCACCTTAGGTCTTAAAACGCTCCAAATATCCACTTGCAGATACTACAAGATTGTTTCAAAACTGCACAAAAAAAGAAATGTTCAATTCTGTTTGATGAATGCACACATCACAAAGAAGTTTCTCAGAATGCTTCTCTGTAGTTTTTATGTGAAGATATTTCCTTTTCCACAATAGGCCTCAAAGGGCTCCAAATATCCACTTCCAGATTCTATGAAAAGAATATTTCCAAACTGCTCAATCATAGGAAATGTTCAACTCTGTGAGATGAATGCACACATCACAAGAAATTTCTCAGAATCCTTCAGTGTAGGTTTTATGAGAAGATAATTCCTTTTCCACAATAGTTCTCAAAGCACTCAAAATATCCACTTGCAGATTCTACAAAAGGAGTATTTCAAAACTGCTCAATCAAAAGAAAGGTTCAACTCTGTGAGATGAATGGACACATCACAAAGAAGTTTCTCAGAATGCTTCTGTGTAGTATTTTTGTGAAGATATTTCTTTTCCACCATAGACCGCCAGGGGACACAAATATCCACTTTCAGATTCTACAAGAGAGGTTCAAAACTACTCGATCAAGAGATGGTTTCAACTATGTGAGTTGAATGCACACATCACAAAGAACTATGTCGGAATTCTTCTGTGTAGTTTTTATGTGAAGATATTTCCTTTTCCACAATAGACGTCAAAGTGATCCAGATATCCACTTGCAGATTCCACAAAAAGAGTGTTTCAAAAGTGCACAACCAAAAGAAAGGTTCAACTAGGTGAGATGAATGCACACATCAGAAGGAAGTTTCTCAGAATGCTTCTGCATAGCTTTTAAGGGAAGATACTTCCTTTTCCAACATAGGCCTCAAAGCACTCCAAATATCCTCCTGGAGATACCACAAAAAGAGTGTTTGCAAACTGCTCAATCAAAAGAAAGATTTAACTCTGTGAGATGAATCCACACATGACAAAGAAGTTTCTCAGAATGCTTCTGTGTAGTTTTTATGTGAAGATATTTCCTTTTCCACAATAAGACCCAAAAGGCTCCAAATATTCACTTGCAGATTCTAAAAAAAACAGTGTTTCAAAACTGCTCAATCAAAAGATAGTTCAACTCTGTGAGAAGAATGCTCACATCACTGAGAAGTTTCTCAGAATGCTTCTGTGTAGTTTTTATATGAAGATATTTCCTTTCCCACCGTAGGCCACAAAAGGCTCCAAATATCCACTTGCAGATACTATGAAAAGAGAGTTTCAAAACTGCTCATTCAAAAGATAGGTTCAACTCTGTGGTTTGAATGCACACAGCACAAAGAAGTTTCACAGAATGTGTCTGTGTAGTTTTTATGTGCGGATGTTTCCTTTTCCACCATATGCCTAAATATTTCCCAATTTCCACTTGCAGATTCCACAAGAAGAGTGTTTCAAAACTGCTGTATCAAATAAAGTTGAACTCTGTGAGGTGAATGCACACAGCACAAAATGGTTTCTCAGAATGCTTCCTTGTTGTTTTTATATGAAGATGTTTCCTTTTCAACAATAGGCCTCAAAGTGCTTCAAATGTCCACTTGCAGATTCTACAAAAAGAGTGTTTCAAAACTGCTCAATCAAAAGAAAGGTTCGACTCTGGGAAATTAATGCACACATCACAAAGAAGTTTCTCAGCTTCTGTGTAGTTTTCATGTGAAGTTATTTCCTTTTCCACAATAGGCCGCAAAGGGCTCCAAATATCAACTTACAGATTCTAGGAAAAGAGAGTTTCAAAACTGCTCTACAAAAAGATAGGTTGAACTCTGTGAGATGAATGCACACATCACAAAGAAGTTTCTCAGAATGCATCTGTGTAGTTTTTACGGGAAGATATTTCCTTTTCCACCATCTTCCACAAAGGTCTCCAAGTAACCACTTGCAGATTCTACAGAAAGACACTTTAAAAACTGCTCTATCAAAAGATCAGTTCAAGTCTGTGGTTGGAATGCACACATCACAAAGAATTTTCTCAGAATGCTTCTGTGTAGTTTTCATATGAAGATATTTTCTTTTCCACCATAGGCCTCAAAGTGCTCCAAATATCCACTTGCAGATTCTACAAAAAGAGTGTTTCAAAACTGCTCAATCAAAAGAAAGGTACAACTCTTTTTGATGAATTCACTAATAACAAAGACGTTTCTCACAATGCTTCTCTGTAGTTTTTATGTGAAGATCTTTCCTTTTCTACCATAGGCATCAAAGCACTACAAATATCCAATAGCAGATTCTACAAAAAGAGTGTTTCAAAACTGTTCAATCAAATGAAACGTTCAACCCTGTGAGATGAATGCAGACATTAAAAGATAGTTTCTCATTATGGTTCTGGGTAGTTTTTATGTGAACTTATTTCCTTTTCCAAAATAGGCCGGAAAGTGCTCCAAGTATCCACTTGCAGATTCTACAAAAAGAGATTCAAAACTCCTCCATCAAAAGATAGGTTGAACTCCGTGAGATTAATGCATACATCACAACGAAGTTTCTCAGAGGGCTTCATTGTAGTTTTATGGGAAGATATTTCCTTTTCCACTATATGTCTCAAAGATATCCAAATATACACTTGCAGATTCTACAAAATGAGAGTTTCAAAACTGCTCTGTCAAAAAAAGAGGTTCAGCTGCATGAGTTGAATGCACACATCACAAAGAAGTTTCTCAGAATGCTTCTGTGTATTTTTTATGTTAAGATATTTTCTTTTCCACCATAGGCTGCAAAGGGCTCCAAATATCCACTTGCAGATTCTACAAAAAGAGATTTTCAAAACTGCTCAATCAAAAGAAAGGCTCAACTCTGTGAGATGAATGCACACAAAACAAAGGAGTTTCTGCAAATGCTTCTGTGTAGTTTTTAAGTGAAGATACTTCCTTTTCCACAATAGGTCTCGAAGCCCTCCAAATATCCAAATGTGGATTCTACAAAAAGAGTGTTTCAAAACTGCTCAATCAAATGGAAGCTTCAACTCTAAGAAATGAATACACACCTGACAAAGAAGTTTCTCAGAATGATTTTGTGTAGTTTTTTGGGGAAGGCGTTTTCCTTTCCACCATCGGTCACAAAGGCCTCCAAATAACCACATGCAGATTCTACACAAGGAGAGTTTCAAAACTGCTCTGTCAAAAGATAGGTTCAGCTCTGCGAGTTGAATGCACACATCACAGACAAGTTTCTCAGAATGCTTCTGTGTAGTTTTCATGTGAAGATATTTCCTTTTCCACTTTAGGCCACAAAGCACTCCAAATATCCACTTGCAGAAACTACAAAAAGAGTCTTTCAAAACTGCTCAAGCAAAAGAAAAGTTCAACTCTGTGAGATGAATGCACACATCACAAAGGAGTTTCTGAGAATGCTTCTGTGTAGTTTTTATGTGAAATATTTCCTTTTCCACCATAGGCTTCAAAGTGCTCCAAATATTCACTTGTAAATTATAAAAACAGAATTTTTCAAAAATGCTCAGTTAAAAGAATGTTTCAACACTGTGAGATGAATGCACACATCACAGAAAGTTTCTGGGAATGCTTCTGTGTGGTTTTTATGTGAGGATATTTCCTTTTCCACCATAGACTACCAAGGGCTCCAAATATCCACTTGCAGATTCTACAAAAAGAGAGTTTCGAAATGCTCTATCAAAAGATAGGTTCAAATATGTGATATGAATGCACACATCACAAAGTAGTTTCTCAGAATGCTTCCGTGTAGTTTTTATGTAAAGATATTTCCTTTTCCACCATAGGCCTCAAAGCACTCCAAATATCCACTTGCAGATTCTACAAAAAGAGATTTTCCAAACTAGTCAATCAAAAGAAAGGTTCAACTCTGTCAGTTGAATGCACATATCACAAACAAGTTTCTCGGAATGCGTCTGTGTAGTTTTTATGTGAAGATATTTCCTTCTCCACAACAGGCCTCAAAGTGCTCCGAATATCCACTTGCAGATTTTACTAAAGAGTGTTTCCAAACTGCTCAATCAAGAGGAAGTTTCAAGTCTGTGAGCTGAACGCACACATCACAAAGTAGTTTCTGAGAATGCTTCTGTGTAGTTTTTATGTGAAGATGTTTCCTTTTCCACCATAGGCTGCAAAGGGCTCCAAATATCCACTTGCAGATTCTACAAAAAGAGAGTCTCAAAAGTGCTCTATCAAAAGATAGGTTCAACTATGTGATATGAATGCACACATCACAAAGTAGTTTCTCAGAATGCTTCTGTGTAGTTTTTATGTAAAGATATTTCCTTTTCCACCATAGGCCTCAAAGCACTCCAAATATCCACTTGCAGATTCTACAAAAAGAGATGTTCAAAACTATTTAATCAAAAGAAAGGTTCAAATCTGTCAGTTGAAGGTACATATCACAAACAAGTTTATTGGAATGCTTCTGTGTAGTTTTTATGTGAAGATATTTCCTTTTCCACAACAGGCCTCAAGGTGCTCCAAATATCCACTTGCAGATTTCACTAAAAGTGTGTTTCCAAGCTGCTCAATCAAGAGGAAGTTTCAAGTCTGTGAGGTGAATGCACACATTACAAAGAAGTTACTGAGAATGCTTCTGTGTAGTTTTTATGTGAAGATATTTCCTTTTCCACCGCAGGCCTCAAAGCGCTGCAAATATCCACTTGCAGATTCTACAAAAAGAGAGTTTCAAAACTGCTGTATCAAAAGATAGGGTCAACTCTGCGAGTTGAATAAACACATCACAAATAAGTTTCTGGGAACGCTTCTGTATAGTTTTATGTGAATATATTTCCTTTTCCACCATATGCCTCAAAGCACTCCAAATATCCACTTGCACATTATAGAAACATAGTCTTTCAAAACTTGTCAATCAAAGAAAGGTTCAACTCCGTGAGATGAGTGCACACATCACAGAGAAGTTTCTCGGAATGTTTCTGTGTAGTTTTTATGTGAAGATATTGCCTTTTCCACAATAGGCCTCAAAGCGTTCCAAATATCCAATTGCAGATTCCACAAAAAAAGTTTTTTAAAACTGCTCAATCAAATGATAGATTAAACTCTGTGAGATTAGTGCACACATGTCAAAAAAGTTTCTCAGAATGCTTCTGTGTACTTTTTAGGGGAAGATATTTCCTTTTCCACCATCGGTCACAAAGGACTCCAAATAACCACATGCAGATTCTAGTAACACAGAGTTTCAAAACTGCTCTATCAAAAGATAAGTTCAACTCTGAGAGTTTAGTGCAACCATCGTGAAGAAGTTTCTCAGAATGCTTCTGAGTAGTGTTTATGTGAAGATATTTCCTTTTCCACCATAGGCCTGAAAGCCCTCCAAATATCCACTTGCAGATCCTACAAAAAGAAAGTTTCGAAATGCTCTCTCAAACGATAGTTTCGACTCTGTGGTATGAATACACACATCACAAAGAAGTTTCTCAGAATGCTTCTGTGTAGTTTTTAAATGAAGATATTTCTTTTTCCACCATAGGCCTCAAAGCACTCCAAATATGCACTTCCAGATTCTACAAAAAGAGTGTTTCAGAACTGCTCAAACAAAAGGAAGGTTCCAGTCTGAGACAAATGCACACATCAAAAGGTAATTTCTCAGAATGCTTCTGTGTAGTTTTTATGTGAAGATATTTTCCTTTCCACCATAGGCCACAAATGGCTCTAAATACCCACTTGCATTTTCCACAGAAAGAGAGTTTCAAAACTGCTCTACCAAAGGTAAGTTTAACGCTGTGAGTTAAGAACATCACAAAGAAGTTTCTCAGAATGCTTCTGTGTAGTTCTTATGTAAAGATATTTCCTTTTACACAATAGGCAGAAAAGTGCTCCAAATATCCACTTGAAGATTCTACAAAAACCGTGTTTCAAAACTGCCGAATCAAAAGAAAGTTTCAACTCTGTGAGATGAATGCACACATAACAAAGGAGTTTCTCAGAATGCTTCTGTGTAGCTTTTATATGAAGATATTTAGTTTTCCACAACAGGCCTCAAAGCTCTCTCCATATCCACTTGCAGATTCTACCGAAAGAGTGCTTCCAAACTGCTCAATCAAAAGAGACATTCAAATCTGTGAGGTGAATGCAGACATCGTAAAGAAGTTTCTCAGAATGCTTCTGTGTATTTTTTGTGTGAAGTTATTCGTTTTTGCACCATAGGCCTCCAAGCGTTCTAAATATCCACTTCTAGATTCTACAAAAAGAGAGTTTCAAAACTACTCAAACAAAAGGTTCAATTCTGTGAGTTGAAAGCAAACATCACAAAGAAGTTTCTCAGAATGCGTCTGTGTAGTTTTTATGTGAAGATATTTCCTTTTCACAATAGAATGCAAAGGGCTCCAAATATCCACTTGGAGATTCTACAAAAAGAGTTTCAAAACCGCTCTGTCAAATGATAGGTTGAACTCCCGGAGGTGAATACACACATCACAAAGAGGTTTCTCAGCATGCTTCTGTGTAGTTTTTATGTAAACATATTTCCGTTTCTATCATAGGCCTCAAAGTGCTCCAAATATTCACTTGTACATTCTACCAAACGAGTATTTCAAAACTGCTCAATCAAATGGAAGGTTCAAAACTGTGACATGAATGCCCACATCACAAAGTAGTTTCTCAGAATGCTTCTGTGTAGTTTTTATGTGAAGATATTTCCTTTTCCACAATAGGTAACAAAGCGCTCTGAAGTTCCAATTGCACACCCTACAAAAAGAATGTTTCAAAACTGCTCAATCAAATGAAAGGTTACACTCTGTGAGATGAATGCACACATCACAAAGAAGTTTCTCAGAATGCTTCTGTGTAGTTTTTAGGGGAACACATTTCCTTTTCCACCATTGGCCACAAAAGGCTCCAAATAATCACACGCAGAATCTACAAAAAGAGAGTTTCAAAACTGCTGTATGAAAAGATAGGTTCAACTCTACGAGTTGAATGCACACATCACAAAGAAGTTTCTTAGAATTTTTTTGTGTAGTTTTTATGTGGAGATGTTTCATTTCCCACCATATGCCTCAAAGCATTCCAAATAACCCCTTGCAGATTCTATGAAAAGAGTGTTTCAAAAGTTTTCAGTCAAAAGAAAAGTTCAACTCTGTGAGTTGAATGCCCACATCAGAAAGAGGTTTCTCATAATTCTCCCGTATAGTTTTTATGTGAAGATATTGCCATTTCCACAACAGACCTGCAAGGGCTCAAAAAATCCACTTGCAGATTCTACAAAAAGAGAGTTTAGGCCGGGCACAGTGGCTCACGCCTGTAATCCCAGCACTTTGGGAGGCCGAGGCGGGTGGATCATGAGGTCAGGAGATCGAGACCATCCTGGTTAACCGGGTGAAACCTCGTCTCTACTAAAAATACAAAAAATTAGCCGGGTGCGGTGGCGGGCACCTGTAGTCCCAGCTACTTGGGAGGCTGAGTCAGGAGAATGGCATGAACCCGGGAAGCGGAGCTTGCATTGAGCCGAGATTGCGCCACTGCAGTCCGCAGTCTGGCCTGGGCGACAGAGCGAGACTCCATCTCAAAAAAAAAAAAAAAAAAAAGAGAGAGATTTTAAAAACTGCTCTATCAAAAGATATGTTCAACTCAGTGAGTTGAATGCACACATGACAAGGAAGTTTCTCAGAGTGCTTCTGTGTAGTTTTTATGAGTAGATATTTCCTTTTCCACAATGGGCCTCAAGGGGCTCCAAATATCCATTTACAGATTCTACAAAAAGTGTGTTTGAAAACTGCTCAATCAAAATAAACCTTCAACTCTGTGAGATGAATGCACACACCACAAAGAAGTTTCTCAGAATGATACTGTGTAGTTTTTATGTGAAGCTAATTCCTTTTCCACCACAGGCCACAAAGTGCTCCAAATATCCACTTGCAGCCTCTACAAAGAGAGAGTTTCAAAACTGCTATATCAAAAGATAGGTTCAACTCTGAGATGAATGCAGACATCACAAAGAAGTTTCTCAGAATGCCTCTGTGTAGTTTTTATGTGAAGATTTTTCCTTTTGACCATAGGACTCAAAGTGCTCCACATATCCACTTGCAGATTCTACAGAAAGAGTGTTTCCAAATTGCTCCGTCAAAAGAAAGGTTCAACTCTGTGAGATGAATGCAAACAAAACAACTAAGTTTCTGAGAATGCTTCTGTGTAGTTTTTATGGGAAGATATTTCCCTTTCCACAATAGGCCTCAAAGCACAGCAAATACTTGCAGAATCTACAAAAGTGTGTTTCAAAACTGCTCAATCAAATCAAATATCCAACACTGTGAGATGAATGCACTCTTCAAAAGAAGGTTCCCAGAATGGTTCTGTGTAGTTTTTATGTTCAGATATTTCCTTTTCCATTATCAGCCAGAAAGGACTCCAAATACCCACTTGCAGATTCTACAAAAAGAGAGTTTCAAAACTGCTCTATCAAAAGATAGGTTCAACTCTGCGAGTTGAATACACACATCGCAAAGTAGTTTCTCAAAATGCTTCTGTGTAGTTTTCATGTGAAGGTATTTCCTTTTCCACCATAGGCCTCAAAGTGCTCCAAATATCCACTTTCAGATTCTATAAAAAGAGTGTCAAAACTGCTAAATCAAAAGAAAGTTGAACAATATGAGATGAATGCACACAAAACAAATAAGTTTCTGAGAATACTTCTGTGTAGTTTTTATGTGAAGATATTTCCTTTTCCACAACAGGCCTCAAAGCACTCAAAATATACACTTGCAGATTCTCCAGAAAGAGTGTTTCAAAATTGCTCAATCAAATGAAATGTTCAACTCTGTTAGATGAAAGCATGCAACACAAAGATGATTCACAGCATGCTTCTGTGTAGTTTTTAGGGGGAAATTTTTCCCTTTCCACCATCAGCCTCAAAGTGGTCCAAATAACCACGTGCAGATTCTACAAAAGGGAGTTTCAAAACTGCTCTATCAAAAGAGAGGTTCAACTCTGCGAGTTGAATGCACACATCACAAAGAAGTTTCTTCTAATGCTTCTGTGTAGTTTTTAAGGGAAGATATTTCCTTTTACACCTTTGACCCCAAAGCGCTCCAAATATCCACTTGCAGATTCTATGAATAGAGTGTTTCAAAACTGCTCAATCATAAGAAAGTTTCAACTCTGTGATATGAATGGACACATCCAAAAGAAGTTTCTTATAATGCTCCTGTGTAGTTTTTACGTGAAGATATTTCCTTTTTCACAATAGACTTCCAAGTGCACCAAATATTCACTTGCAGATTCTACTAAAAGAGTGTTTCCAAACTACTCAATCAAAAGAAATGTTCAACTCCGTGAGATGAATGCACACATCACAAAGAAGTTTCTCCGAATGCTTCTGTGTAGATTTTGTGGAAAGATATTTCCTTTTCCACAATAGGAATCAAAGCACAGAAAATATCCACTTGAAGACTCTACAAAAAGAATGTTTCAAAACTGCTCAATCAAAAGAGAGTTTCAACTCTGTGAGATGAGTGCACACATCAGAAAGAAGTTTCTTAGAATGCTTCTGTGTAATTTTTATGTAAAAATATTTCCTTTTCCACCATGTGCCCCAAAGGTCTCCAAATATCCACTTGAAGATTCTACAAAAAGTGAGTTTAAAAACTCCTCTATCAAAAGATAGGTTGAACTCTGTGAGATGAATGCACACATCACAAAGAAGTTTCTCAGAATGCTTCTGTGTAGTTTTTATGTGAAGATATTTCCTTTTCCATCGTAGGCCTGAAAGAGCTCCAAATATGCACATGTAGATTCTACAAAAAGAGTGTTTCAAAACTGCTCAATCAAAAGAAAGTTCAACTCTGTGAGGTGAATGCACACATCACAAAGAAGTTTCTCAGAATGCTTCTGTGTTGTTTTCATGTGAAGATATTTCCTTTCCCACCATAGGCCTCTAAGTGCTTCAAATTTCCACTTCCAGGTTCTATAAAAAGAGAGTTTCCAAATGGCTTAATCTAAAGAAAGTTTTAACTCTCTGAGATGAATGCACATATCAGAAATGAGTTTCTTGGAATGCTTCTGTCTAGTTTCTAAGTGAAGATATTTCCTTTATCTCAGTAGGCCACAAAGCCCTCTAAATATCCTCTTGCAGATTCTACAAATAGTGTGTTTCAAAACTGCTCAATCAAAAGAAATGTTCAAGTCTGAGGGATGAATGTACACATCACAAAGAAGTTTCTCAGAATACTTCTGTCTAGTTTTTATGTGAAGATATTTCCTTTTCCACTATAGGCGGCAAAGCCCTCCAAATATCCGCTTGCAGATTCTACAAAAAGAGTGTTTCAAAACTACTCAGTCAAAAGAAAGGTTCAACTCCGTGAGTTGAATGCACACATCACAAATAAGTTGTTCAGAATGCTTCCGTCTAGATTTTACGTGACGATATTTCCTTTACCGGCAAAGGATGCAATTCGTTCCAAACATCCCCTTACAGATTTTACTAAAAGAGTCTTGCAAAACTGCTGAATCAAAATAAAGGTTCAACGCTGTAAGATGAATGCACACAACACATTGAAGCTTTTCAGAATGCCTCCATCTGGTTTTTATATGAAGATATTTCCTTTTCCACAATAGACCTCAAAGTGCTCTAAATGTACACTTGCAGGTTCTGCAAAAAGGGTGTTTCAGAACTGTTCAATGAAAGGAAGGTTCAACTCCGTGAGACCAATGCACAGATTACGAAGGAGTTTGTCAGAATATTTCTGTGTCCTGTTTGTGTGAAGATATTTCCCTTTCCACCATAGGCATCAAAGTGCTCCAAATGTCCACTTGCAGATTCTACAAAAACTGTGTTTGCAAGATGCTCAATCGAAAGAAATGTTCAATTCTGAGATGAATGCACACATCACAGAGAAGTTTCTCAGAATGATTCTTTCTAGTTATTATGTGAAGATATTTCGTTATTCACCATATGCCTCAAAGCAATCTTAATGTCCTCTTGTAGATTCTACAAAAACTGTGTTTCCAAGCTGTTCAATCAAAAGAAATATTCAATTCTGTGAGACGAATGCACACATCACAAAGAAGTTTCTCAGAATGGTTCTGTCTAGTTATTATTTGAGGATATTTCGTTATCCACCAAAGGACTCAAAGAGCTCCAAATGTTCACTTGCAGATTCTACAAAAAGAGTGTTTCAAAACTGTTCAATGGAAATTAAGGTTCAACTCTGTGAGATGAATGCACACATCACAAAGAAGTTTGTCAGAATGTTTCTCTCTATAGTTTTTATGTGAAGACACTTCCTTTTCCATCATAGGCTTCAAGGCGCTCCAAAAGTCCACATGCAGATTGTACAAAGTGTTTCACGGCTGTTTAATCAAATGAAAGTTTCAACCCTGTGAGATGAATACACACATCACAAAGAAAATTATCAGAATGCTTCTGTCTAGTTTTGTGAAGATATTTCCTTTTCCAGAATAGGCCTCAATGTACTCCAAGTGTCCAGTTGCAGATATTAAAAAAAATGGTGTTTCAAAACTGCTCAATCAAAACTAAAGTTCAACTCTGTGAGTTCAATGCATATATCACAAAGAAGTTTGTCAGAATGCTTCTGTCTAGTTTTTATGTGAAGATAGTTTCTTTTCACCTTATGCCTCAAATCGCTCCATATGTCCACTTGCAGATTCTGCAAAAAGAGTTTTTCCAATCTGTTCAATAAAAAGAAAGGTTCAACTCTGTGAGAAGAATGAACAAATCACACAGAAGTTTCTCAGAATGCTTCTGTCTAGGTTTTATGTGAATATATTTCCCTTTCCACCATAGGCGTCAAAGTGCTCCAGTCCACTACACTGCATTCCATTTCGTCCCATTCCATTCCACTCCAATCCACTCCACTCCAATGCACTCCATTCCATTCCATTCCTTTCGATTCCACTCTATTCCAATCCAGGGTATTCCATACAATTTTTTGAAAGGATCTCATTCTGTCTCCCAGGTTGGAGTGCAGTGGCACAGTGTCAGCTCACATTTCATTTCAACATTCCATTCCATTCCGTGGCATTCCATTCCATTCTATTCCATTCCACTCCACACCACTCCACTCCACTCCATTCCATTCCATCCCATTCCACTCCACTACATTCCACTCGACTCCACTCCACTCCACTCGACTCCACTCCACTCCACTCGACTCCACTCCAATATACTCAGTTTCAATTCCATTCCATTCCATTCAACTCCATTGCATAACACTCCTTTATTTTGACAGGATCTCACCCTGTCAAAAAGTCTGGACTGCAGTGTCACAATCTCAGCTCACATTTCATTTCACCATTCCATTCCATTCGATTCCATTCCTTTCAACTCCATTCCATTCCACTTCACTCCACTCCACTCCATTCTACCCCAATCCCTTCCATTACACTAACTTCCATTCCATTCCTTTCTTCTGACAGGATGTCACTCTGTCATCCAGGCGGGAGTGCACTGGAACAATCTTAGCTGATATTTCACTTCACCTTTCCAATGCCTTGCCTTCCATTCCATTCCATTCCATTCCATTCCATTCCATTCCATTCCATTCCATTCCATTCCATTCCGTAACATTCCACTCCACTGCACCCAACTCCAATCCACTCCACTTCAGTCCACTCCACTTCAATCCACTCAAATCCATTCCCTTCAATTCCACTCCATTTCATTCCACTCCATTACCCGCCACTCCACTCCAGTCCACTCCACTCCATCCCATTCCATCCCACTCCATTCCACTCCATTCCACTCCACTCCACTCCATTCCATTCCAATCCATCCCACCCATTCCACTCCATTCCACTCCACTCCACATCATTCTAGTCCACTCCACTCCACTCCATTTCGTTGAATCTCATTCCATTCCACTCCATTCCACTTCACTCCACTCCACACCACTCCACTCTACTCCACTCCATTCCATCCCATTCCATTCCATTCCACAGCATTCCACTCCACTCCACTCCAGTAAACTCCACTCGACTCCATTGCATTCTATTCCATTTCAATCGATTCCACTCCACTCCATCCCTTTCTTTCGACAGGATCTCACTCTGCTCCACATTCTACAATGCAGTGGCACAACCTCAGCTCACATTTAATTTCACCATTCCATTCCATTCCATTCCATTCCATTCCATTCCATTCCACTCCACTCAACTCCAATCCATTCCACTCCAGTACATTCCATTAATACCAGTCCACTCTACTACACTCCATTCCATCCCATTCCAATTCACTCCATTCCATTCTCCTCCACTCCACTCCAATCCACTCTACTCCACTACACTCTATTTCACTGCACTCCATTCTATTCTACTCCATTGCATTCCATTCAATTCCACTCCATTCCACTCCACTGCCCTCCATTCCATCCCATTTCATTCCATTCCATTCCACTACATGCACTCCACTAGGCTCCACTCCATTTCATTGTATTCCATCCCATTCCTTTCCACTCGACTCCACTCCACTCCACTCCACGCCACTCCACTCCACTCCATTCCATTCCATTCTATTCCATTCCATCCCATTCCTCTCCATTCCATTCCACTCCACTCAACTCCATTCAATTCCTTTCCATTCCACTCCACTTCATTGTATTCCATTCCTTTCTTTAAATAGGATCTCACTCTGTTACACAGGCTGGAGGGCAGTGCCACAATCTAGATCACATTTCATTTCACCATTCCTTTCTATTCCATTATATTCCACTCCATTCCACTCCTCTCTATTCATTCCACTCCACTCAATTCCACTCAACTAAACTCCAATCCACTCCCCTCAACTCCACTGCCATACACTCCACTTCAATACACTCCATCTCAATCCTTTCCACTCCATCCACTCCACTGCACTCCACTCCACTACATTCCATTTTATTCCATCCCATTCCATTCCACTCCTTTCAAAACCATTCCACTTCACTCCATTCCATTCCATTCCAACCCTTTTCATTCCATTCCATTCCATTCCATTCCATTCCATTCCATTCCATTCCATTCCATTTCATTTCATTCAGTTGGAATCCATTCCATTCCACTCGTTTCCATTCCATTCCTTTCCATTCCATTCCATTCCATCCCATTCCACTCCATTCCATTCCACTCCACTCCACTCCATTCCCCTCCTATCCACTTCATTACATTCTACTCCACTCCATTACATTCCTTTCTTTAGGCAGGATCTCACTCTCTCACCCAGGCTGGAGTGCAGTGGTGAATCTCAGCTCACATTTCATTTCTCCGTTCTATTCCATTCCATTCCATTCCATTCCATTCCATTCCATTCCATTCCATTCCACTCCACTCCAAACCATTCTATTCCATTCCATTCCATTCCATTCCATTCCATTCCACTCCACTCCAAACCATTCTATTCCATTCCATTCCATTCCATTCCACTGCATTTGCAGTCCACTGCTCTCCATTCGACTCCACTCCACTCCACTCCACATCATTCCATTCCTATGCATCCCATTCTATTCGGCTGCAACCCCCTCAACTCCACTCCACTCTACTACACTCCAGTCCACTCCACTCTACTCCACTCCACTCCATTACACTCCATTCCATTCCATTCAACTCCATTGCATTCAATGCGTTTCCGTCGACAGAGTCTCACTCTGTCACCCGGGTTGGAGCTCGGTGGAGCAATCTCGTGTCACATGTCATTTCACCATTACATTGCATTCGGAGGGGATTCCACATCAACTCCGACTCAACGTCCACTCGAGTGCCATGCCACATATGAGTTCCGAGTGCCATTCCACTCTACTCGACTCCACTCGAGTGCGTGTGATTCCATTAAATCAGAATTCCTTTCCAATCCATTAAACTCGCACTCCACTCCACTCCACTCCACTCCACTCCATTCCATTCCATTCCATTCCATTCCATTCCATTCCATTCCATTCCATTCCATTCCATCCTATTCTATTGAACTCCATTCCACTCCACTCCATTCAATTCCATTCCACTTCATTCCATTTGATTTCTTTCTTTCGAAATTATCCCACTCTGAAACCCAGACTGGAGTGCAGTGGCACAATCTCAGCACACATTTCATTTCACAATTCCATTAAATTCCATTAAATTCCATTCCATTCCACTACACTCCACTCTAGTCCACTCCTCTCCACTCCATTCCACTCCATTCCACATCACTCCAATCCAGTCCATTCCACTCCATTCCACTCCATCCCATTCCATTCCACTCCATTCCTCTCCACTCCATTCCACTCCACTTCACTCCACTCCACTTCATTCCATTCCACTCCATCCCTTTCCATTCCACTCCATTAAACTCCACTCCACAACACTCCTTCTCCCGCCATTCCATTCCATTGCACTCCATTCCTTTCCATTCCATTCGATTCCATTCCATTACATTCTATTCAGTTCAATTCCTCTCCATTACATTGCGCTCCACTCCACTCCACTACACTCCATTCCATTCCATTCCTTTCCACTGCATTCCACTCCTTTCCTTTCCAATACTTTCTTTTGACAGGATCTCACTCTGTCTCGCAGGCTGGTGTGCAGGGGCACATTCACAGCTCACATTAGATTTCACCATTGCATTCCATTCCATTTCACTCCACTCCATTCCATTCCACTACACACCTCTCCACTCCACTCCACTCTATGCTACTCCACTCCATTCCAATCCACTCTATTCATTTCATTCACTCCACTCCACTCTATTCCATGCCATTCCTTCCCATTCCATTCCATTCCATTCCATTCCATTCCATTCCATTCCATTCCATTCCACTCCATTCCATTCCATTCCATTCCGTTCCATTCCGTTTTGTTCCATTCCATTCCATTCCATTCTATTCCATTCCATTCCATTCCATTCCATTCCATTCCATTCCATTCCTTTCCGTTGCATTCTGTTCCATTCCATTCCACTCCAATCCATTCCATTCCACTCCAATCCATTCCATTCCACTCCAATCCATTCCATTCCTTTCTTTCGACATGGTCTCAATCAGTCACACAAGCTGGAGTGCAGTGGCACAATATCAGCTCAGATTTCGTTTCACCATTCCATTCCATTCCATTCCATTCCACTCCACTCCACTCCACTCCACCCCAATCCATTCCTCTCCACCCCACTCCACTCCACTCCACTACATTCCATTCCATACCAGTCCATTCCATTCCATTCCTTTCTTTCGACAGGTTATCACTCTGTCACGAAGGTTGGAGTATAGTGGCAGAATCTCTTTTCACATTTCATTTCAGCATTCCGTTCCATTTCATTTGATTCCACTCTGCTCTATCCCATTCCTTTCTTTTGACAGTATCTCACTCTGTCAACCAGGCTGGACTGCAGTCGCATAATGTCAAGTCACATTACATTTCACCATTGCATTGCATTCCATTCCAATCCATTCCATTCCATTCCATTCCATGCCATTCCATTCCATGCCATTCCATTCCATGCCATTCCATTCCATTCCATGCCATGCCATTCCATTCCATTCCATTCCATTCCATTCCATTCCATTCCATTCCATTCCATTCCACTCCATTCCATTCTATTCTATTCCTTTATTTTGAAAGGATCTGACTCTGTCACACAGGCTGGAGGGCAGTGGAAGAATCTCAGCTCACATTTCATTTCACTATTCCATTCCATTCCATTCCACTCCACTCCACTCCACCCCACTCCACTCCATTCCTCTCCACTCCACTCAACTCCACTCCACTCCACTCCACCCCACTCCACTCCATTCCTCTCCACTCCACTCAACTCCACTCCACTCCACTCAACTGTACTCCATTCTGTCCCAATCAATTCCATTACACTAACTTCCATTCCATTCCTTTCTTTTCACATGATCTCACTCTGTCACACAGGGTGGAGTGCAGTGGCACAATCTCAGCTCACATTTCATTTCAACATTCCATTCCATTCCTTTCCATTCCATTCCATACTTTTCCATTCCATTCCACTCCACTCCACTTCACTCCACCCAATTCCATTTCATTCCATTCCATTCAAATGCATTCCATTCCATTCCTTTCTTTCGACAGTATCTCACTCTCTCACACAGGACTTAGTGTAGTGTCATAATTTCAGCTCACATTTCATTTCACCGTTCTATTCCTTTCCACGCCATTGTGTCCTATTCCATGCCATGCCACGCCAGTCCAATCCACGCCACTCTACTTCTTTTGATTCCATCCCATTCCATTCCAATCAATCCATTCCACTCCACTCCACTCAATTCCATTCCATCCCATTCTATTCCACTACATTCCACTCCACACCACTACACGCCATTCCACTTCTTTCTATGCCATCCCATTCCATTCAACTCCAATCCACTCCACTCCAGTCCAATCCTGCCTACTCCATTCCATTCCACTTCATCCCATTCCATTCACGCAAATTCATTTCACTCCATTCCACTACACTCCATTCAATTCCATTCTATTCTATTCCATTCCACTCCACTCCTTTCCATTCTATTCCTTTTTTCGACAGGATCTCACTCTGTCACCCAGGCTGCAGTGCAGTCACACATTCTGAGCTCACATTTCATTTCACAATTCCATGGCATTACAGTCCATTTTATTGCATTCCATTCCATTCCATTCTATTCCATTCCATTCCATTCCACACAATTCCTCTCCACTCCACTCTGCTGCATTCCATTCCATTCCATTCCATTCCATTCCATTCCATTCCATTCCATTCCATTCCACTCTATTCCACTCCATCCTAATCCACCCAATTCCTTTCCACTCCATTCCACTCCACTCCAATGCAGTCCATTCCATTACATTCCATGCCATCCAATTCCACTCCATTCCACTCCACTCCACTCCCCTCAATTCTTTTCCATTCAATTCCACTCCATTCCATTCCTTTCTGTCAACAAGATCTCACTATGC
The DNA here is from genome assembly GCF_000001405.40 of Homo sapiens. Taxonomy (NCBI): domain Eukaryota; kingdom Metazoa; phylum Chordata; class Mammalia; order Primates; family Hominidae; genus Homo; species Homo sapiens. The sequence continues at coordinate 10,632,682 of NC_000024.10, forward strand.
ACACTGGCTGGAGTGCAGTGGCACAATATCAGCATGACATTTCATTTCTCCATTTCATTCCATCCATATCATTCCATTCCCCTCAACTGCACTCCACTCCTGTCCTCTTCTCTCCACTCCATTCCATTCCACTCCATATCCATTCCATTCCTTTTCTTCGACAGGATCTCGCTCTGTCACTCAGGCTGGAGTGCAGTGGCACAATCTCAGCTCACATTTCATTTCACCATTCCATTTTATTCCATTGCATTCCATACCATTCCCTTTAATTCCAGTCAATTCCAATCCACTCCATGCCATTCCATTCCATTACTTTCCAGTTAATTCCACTCCATTCAACTCCACTCCACTCCACTATATTACATTATATCCCGTCCGATTCCACTCCACTTCACTCCTCTCCACATTATTCCATTCCATTCCATTCCACTCCATTGCACTCCATTCCTTCCTTTTGACAACATCTCACTATGTCACGCAGGCTGGGGTGCAGTGGCACAATCTCAGCTCACATTTCACTTCACTATTCCATTCCATTCCATTCCATTCCATTCCATTCCATTCCATTCCATTCCATTCCACTCCACTGCACTGCACATCACTCTACTCCACTCCATTCCATTCCATTCCATTCCATTCCATTCCATTCCATTCCATTCCATTCCACTCTTTCCCACTCCATTCCACTCCAGTTCACACCAATCCACTCTTCTGCACTCCATTCCATTCTATTCCATCCCATTCCTTTCCACTGAATTC
>NC_000024.10:10645833-10649989 GCF_000001405.40 Homo sapiens
TCCACTCCACACCACTCCACTCTACTCCACTCCATTCCATCCCATTCCATTCCACAGCATTCCACTCCACTCCACTCCAGTAAACTCCACTCGACTCCATTGCATTCTATTCCATTTCAATCGATTCCACTCCACTCCATCCCTTTCTTTCGACAGGATCTCACTCTGCTCCACATTCTACAATGCAGTGGCACAACCTCAGCTCACATTTAATTTCACCATTCCATTCCATTCCATTCCATTCCATTCCATTCCATTCCACTCCACTCAACTCCAATCCATTCCACTCCAGTACATTCCATTAATACCAGTCCACTCTACTACACTCCATTCCATCCCATTCCAATTCACTCCATTCCATTCTCCTCCACTCCACTCCAATCCACTCTACTCCACTACACTCTATTTCACTGCACTCCATTCTATTCTACTCCATTGCATTCCATTCAATTCCACTCCATTCCACTCCACTGCCCTCCATTCCATCCCATTTCATTCCATTCCATTCCACTACATGCACTCCACTAGGCTCCACTCCATTTCATTGTATTCCATCCCATTCCTTTCCACTCGACTCCACTCCACTCCACTCCACGCCACTCCACTCCACTCCATTCCATTCCATTCTATTCCATTCCATCCCATTCCTCTCCATTCCATTCCACTCCACTCAACTCCATTCAATTCCTTTCCATTCCACTCCACTTCATTGTATTCCATTCCTTTCTTTAAATAGGATCTCACTCTGTTACACAGGCTGGAGGGCAGTGCCACAATCTAGATCACATTTCATTTCACCATTCCTTTCTATTCCATTATATTCCACTCCATTCCACTCCTCTCTATTCAATCCCATTCCATTCCACTCCAATCCAATCCACTACACTACACTCCGTTCCTTTCCATTACATCATATTCCACTCCACTTCATTCCACGCCAATCGACTCCACTCCATTCCATTCCATTTCATTCCAATACACTCCATTACATTATATCCCTTTCTTTTGACAGAATCTCACGCTGTCACCCAGGCCGGAATGCAGTGACACAATCTCAGCTCACATTTCATTTCACAATTCCATTCCATTGCGTTCTGTTCTGTACTGTTCTGCTGCATTCCACTCCACTCAATTCCACTCAACTAAACTCCAATCCACTCCCCTCAACTCCACTGCCATACACTCCACTTCAATACACTCCATCTCAATCCTTTCCACTCCATCCACTCCACTGCACTCCACTCCACTACATTCCATTTTATTCCATCCCATTCCATTCCACTCCTTTCAAAACCATTCCACTTCACTCCATTCCATTCCATTCCAACCCTTTTCATTCCATTCCATTCCATTCCATTCCATTCCATTCCATTCCATTCCATTCCATTTCATTTCATTCAGTTGGAATCCATTCCATTCCACTCGTTTCCATTCCATTCCTTTCCATTCCATTCCATTCCATCCCATTCCACTCCATTCCATTCCACTCCACTCCACTCCATTCCCCTCCTATCCACTTCATTACATTCTACTCCACTCCATTACATTCCTTTCTTTAGGCAGGATCTCACTCTCTCACCCAGGCTGGAGTGCAGTGGTGAATCTCAGCTCACATTTCATTTCTCCGTTCTATTCCATTCCATTCCATTCCATTCCATTCCATTCCATTCCATTCCATTCCACTCCACTCCAAACCATTCTATTCCATTCCATTCCATTCCATTCCATTCCATTCCACTCCACTCCAAACCATTCTATTCCATTCCATTCCATTCCATTCCACTGCATTTGCAGTCCACTGCTCTCCATTCGACTCCACTCCACTCCACTCCACATCATTCCATTCCTATGCATCCCATTCTATTCGGCTGCAACCCCCTCAACTCCACTCCACTCTACTACACTCCAGTCCACTCCACTCTACTCCACTCCACTCCATTACACTCCATTCCATTCCATTCAACTCCATTCCATTCAATTCTTTTCCTTCAACAGAATCTCACTCTGTCACCCAGGTTGGAGCTCAGTGGAACAATCTCATCTCACATTTCATTTCACCATTACATTACATTCCATTGCATTCCACTCAACTCCACTCAACTCCACTCCATTCCATCCCATTGAGTTCCACTCCATTCCACTCTACTCAACTCCACTCCACTCCATTTTATTCCATTAAATCAAATTCCTTTCCAATCCATTAAACTCCACTCCACTCCACTCCACTCCACTCCACTCCATTCCATTCCATTCCATTCCATTCCATTCCATTCCATTCCATTCCATTCCATTCCATCCTATTCTATTGAACTCCATTCCACTCCACTCCATTCAATTCCATTCCACTTCATTCCATTTGATTTCTTTCTTTCGAAATTATCCCACTCTGAAACCCAGACTGGAGTGCAGTGGCACAATCTCAGCACACATTTCATTTCACAATTCCATTAAATTCCATTAAATTCCATTCCATTCCACTACACTCCACTCTAGTCCACTCCTCTCCACTCCATTCCACTCCATTCCACATCACTCCAATCCAGTCCATTCCACTCCATTCCACTCCATCCCATTCCATTCCACTCCATTCCTCTCCACTCCATTCCACTCCACTTCACTCCACTCCACTTCATTCCATTCCACTCCATCCCTTTCCATTCCACTCCATTAAACTCCACTCCACAACACTCCTTCTCCCGCCATTCCATTCCATTGCACTCCATTCCTTTCCATTCCATTCGATTCCATTCCATTACATTCTATTCAGTTCAATTCCTCTCCATTACATTGCGCTCCACTCCACTCCACTACACTCCATTCCATTCCATTCCTTTCCACTGCATTCCACTCCTTTCCTTTCCAATACTTTCTTTTGACAGGATCTCACTCTGTCTCGCAGGCTGGTGTGCAGGGGCACATTCACAGCTCACATTAGATTTCACCATTGCATTCCATTCCATTTCACTCCACTCCATTCCATTCCACTACACACCTCTCCACTCCACTCCACTCTATGCTACTCCACTCCATTCCAATCCACTCTATTCCATTTCATTCCACTCCACTCCACTCTATTCCATGCCATTCCTTCCCATTCCATTCCATTCCATTCCATTCCATTCCATTCCATTCCATTCCATTCCACTCCATTCCATTCCATTCCATTCCGTTCCATTCCGTTTTGTTCCATTCCATTCCATTCCATTCTATTCCATTCCATTCCATTCCATTCCATTCCATTCCATTCCATTCCTTTCCGTTGCATTCTGTTCCATTCCATTCCACTCCAATCCATTCCATTCCACTCCAATCCATTCCATTCCACTCCAATCCATTCCATTCCTTTCTTTCGACATGGTCTCAATCAGTCACACAAGCTGGAGTGCAGTGGCACAATATCAGCTCAGATTTCGTTTCACCATTCCATTCCATTCCATTCCATTCCACTCCACTCCACTCCACTCCACCCCAATCCATTCCTCTCCACCCCACTCCACTCCACTCCACTACATTCCATTCCATACCAGTCCATTCCATTCCATTCCTTTCTTTCGACAGGTTATCACTCTGTCACGAAGGTTGGAGTATAGTGGCAGAATCTCTTTTCACATTTCATTTCAGCATTCCGTTCCATTTCATTTGATTCCACTCTGCTCTATCCCATTCCTTTCTTTTGACAGTATCTCACTCTGTCAACCAGGCTGGACTGCAGTCGCATAATGTCAAGTCACATTACATTTCACCATTGCATTGCATTCCATTCCAATCCATTCCATTCCATTCCATTCCATGCCATTCCATTCCATGCCATTCCATTCCATGCCATTCCATTCCATTCCATGCCATGCCATTCCATTCCATTCCATTCCATTCCATTCCATTCCATTCCATTCCATTCCATTCCACTCCATTCCATTCTATTCTATTCCTTTATTTTGAAAGGATCTGACTCTGTCACACAGGCTGGAGGGCAGTGGAAGAATCTCAGCTCACATTTCATTTCACTATTCCATTCCATTCCATTCCACTCCACTCCACTCCACCCCACTCCACTCCATTCCTCTCCACTCCACTCAACTCCACTCCACTCCACTCCACCCCACTCCACTCCATTCCTCTCCACTCCACTCAACTCCACTCCACTCCACTCAACTGT
>NC_000024.10:10651421-10669737 GCF_000001405.40 Homo sapiens
TTTCATTTCTCCATTTCACTCCACTCCACTCCACTCAATCCAATTATATTCCACTCCATTCCACTCCACTTCTCTGCACTCCACTCCATTTCATTCCACTCCATATCATTCCATTCCCCTCAACTGCACTCCACTCCTGTCCTCTTCTCTCCACTCCATTCCATTCCACTCCATTCCATTCCATTCCTTTTCTTCGACAGGATCTCGCTCTGTCACTCAGGCTGGAGTGCAGTGGCACAATCTCAGCTCACATTTCATTTCACCATTCCATTTTATTCCATTGCATTCCATACCATTCCCTTTAATTCCAGTCAATTCCAATCCACTCCATGCCATTCCATTCCATTACTTTCCAGTTAATTCCACTCCATTCAACTCCACTCCACTCCACTATATTACATTATATCCCGTCCAATTCCACTCCACTTCACTCCTCTCCACATTATTCCATTCCATTCCATTCCACTCCATTGCACTCCATTCCTTCCTTTTGACAACATCTCACTATGTCACGCAGGCTGGGGTGCAGTGGCACAATCTCAGCTCACATTTCACTTCACTATTCCATTCCATTCCATTCCATTCCATTCCATTCCATTCCATTCCATTCCATTCCACTCCACTGCACTGCACATCACTCTACTCCACTCCATTCCATTCCATTCCATTCCATTCCATTCCATTCCATTCCATTCCATTCCACTCTTTCCCACTCCATTCCACTCCAGTTCACACCAATCCACTCTTCTGCACTCCATTCCATTCTATTCCATCCCATTCCTTTCCACTGAATTCCACTCCACTCCACTCCACTCCATTCAATTCCATTTCATTCCATTCCACTCCATTCCATTCCATTCTGTCTTCAACAGGATCTCACTTTGTCACTTAGGCTGGAGTGCAGTGTCACAATTTCAGCTCACAATTCATTTCACTTTTCCATTCCATTCCATTCCTTTCAATTACATTCCACACCATTCCACCACCCTCCACTCTACTCCATTCCATTCCATTGCATTCCATTCCATTTCGTTCCATTCCATTTCATTCCATTCCATTCCTTTTGTCTACAAGATCTAACTCTGTCACACCGGTTGGAGTGCAGTGGCAGAATCTCAGCTCACATTTCATTACACCAATCCATTTCATTCTACTCTACTCAATTCCACTCCACTCCAGTCAATTCCATCCCATTGCATTCCACTCCATTCCACTATATTTCACTGCACTCCACTCCACTCCATTCCACGCCATACCATTCCATTCCCGTCCACTCCACTCCACTCCACTCAACTACGCTCCACTCCATTGCATTCCATTCCATTCCACTCTATTGCATTCCATTCCTTTTCTTCGACAGGATCTCACTCTGTCCCTCAGGCTGAAGTACAGTGGCACAATCTCAGCTCAAGATTCATTTCACCATTCCATTGCATTCCGTTGCATTCCATTCCATTCCATTTAATTCCGATCTACTACACTCCACTCCACTGCATGCCATTCCATTCCATTCCATTCCATTCCATTCCATTCCATTCCATTCCAGTACATTCCACTCCATTCCACTCCACTCCACTCTGCTATATTCCAGTCCATCCAGTTCCATTCAACTCCATTCCACTCCTCCACTCTAATCTACTCCACTGTACTCCTCTCCCCTCCATTCCATTCCAATGCATTCCATTCCGTTCCATTCCATTCCATTCCATTCCATTCCATTCCATTCCATTCCATTCCATTCCATTCCTTTCTTTCAACATCTCACTCTATCACACAGGCTGGAGTGCACTGGCAAAATCTCAGCTAACTTTTCATTTCACCATTCCATTCCATTCCATTCCATTCCACTCCATAGCAATCCACTGTACTCCACTCCACTCCGTTCGCTTCCATTCCATTCCACTCCATTCTACTCCACTCCCTTCCACTTCATTCCAATCCATCCCGTTCCATTCCACTCCATAAAACACCACTCCGCTCCACTTCATTCCATTCCATTCCACCCGATTCCATGCCACTCCATTCCACTCCACTCCACTCCACTCCAATACATTCCAATCCATTTCATTCTATTCTACTCCATTCCATTCCATTCCTTTCTTTCGACAGGATCTCACTCTGTCACACAGGCTCAACTGCACTTTTCCAATCTCAGCTCACATTTCACTTCACCATTCCATTCCATTCCATTCTATTCCATTCCTCTCCACTGCATTCCAGTCAAATCTATTTCATTCTATTACATTCCATTCCATTCGACTCCATTCCACTCCACTCCACTCCACACTACTCCAATCCACTCTATTCCATTCCATCCCTTTCAATTCCACTCCACTCCATTCCACTCCACTCCACTCCATTCCTCTCCTTCCCATTTCATTCCACTCCACTCTACTCCACTCCTCTCCACTCTATCCTATTCCATCCCGTTCCATTCCACTCCATTCCACTCCACTCCTTTTCATTTCATTCCATCCCATCTCATTCCACTCCATTCAACTCCACTCCACTAAACTGCACTCCACTCCACTCCATTCAATCCCATTCCATTCCACTCTATTCCATTCCATTCCTTTCTGTCAACAAGATCTCAGTCTCTCATACTGGCTGGAGTGCAGTGGCACCATCTCAGCTCACATTTCATTTCTCTATTCTATTCCATTCCACTCCACTCCACTCCACTCCACTCCACTCCACTCCACTCCATTCAAGTGCATTCCACTCCATTCCACTACACTTCACTGCACTCCACTGCACTCCATTCCATTCCACTCCATACAATTCCATTACACTCCACTCCACTCCACTCCACTCCTGTCAACTACTCTCCACTCCATTCCATTCCACTCCATTCCATTCCCTTCCTTTTCCTAGACTGGATCTGACTCTTTCACTCAGGCTGGAGTACAGTGCACACTCTCAGCTCACATTTCATTTCACCATTCCATTGCATTCCATTCCCTTCCATTCCATTTAGTTCAAATCCATTCCACTCCACTCCACTCCATGCCATTCCATTCTATTACATTCCAGTCCATTCCACTCCATTCTGCTCCACTCCACTACGCTATATACCATTACATCCTGTCTCATTCCACTCCATTCCACTCTTCACTCTACTCCACTCCACTCCACTCCTCTCTACTCTATTCCATTCCATTCCATTCCATTCCACTCCATTCCACTCCATTCCATTCCATTCCTTCCATTCGACAACATCTCACTCTGTCATGCAGGCTGGAGTGCAGTAGCGCCATCTCAGCTAACATTTCGTTTCAACATTCCATTCCATTCCATTCAATTCCATTCAATTCCACTCAACTCTACTACATTACCCTCCCCTCCACTCTATTCCATTCCATTCCATTCCATCCCATTTCATTCCACTCTATTCCACGCCACTCTACTCCACTCCACTCGATTCCACACTAGACTCCACTCCACTCCATTCCTTTCCATTCCATAACATTCCATTCCACTCCACTTTATTCCACTCCACTCCATTAAATTCCATTCCTTCTTTCAACAGGATCTCACTCTGCCATACAGGCTGGAGCGCAGTGGCATAATCTCAGCTCACATTTCATTTTACCATTCCGCTGCATTCCATGCCATTCCACTCCATTCCACTCCACTTTTCTCTACTCCATTCCATTCCATTCCATTCCATTCCATTCCATTCCACTCCATTCCACTCCACTCCACTCAAGTCCACTTCACTCCATTCCATTCAATTCCAATGTACTCCACGCCACTCGTCTCCTCTCCATTCCATCCGATTCCATTCCATCCCTTCCATGCCACTCCACTCCATTCCGTTCCTTACCATTACATCACATTCCACTCCACTCCACTCGACTCCACTCCACTCCATTACATTCCATTCCATTACGGTCCATTATATTACATTCCTTTCTTTTGACAGGATCTCACTCTGTCATCCAGGCTGGAATGCAGTGGCACAATCTCAGCTTACATTTATTTTAACGGTTCCATTCCTTTCCATTCCATTCCATCCCATTCCACTCCACTCCACTCAATTCCACTCCACTCCACTCCAGTCCACTAAACTCCACTCCATTCATTTCCATCCTATTACATTCCACTGCATTTCACACCACTTCACTCTCCTCCACTCCACTCCAATCCACTCTACTCCATTCCATCCCATTCCATTCCATTCCATTAAACTCCATTCCATTTAATTCCCTACTTTCTACAGAATCTCACTCTGTGAAACAGGCTTGAATGCAATAGCAAAATCGCATCTCACATATCATTTCACTGTACCATTCCTCATCATTCCACTCCACTGTACTCCTCACCAATCCACGCCATTCCGCTCCATTCCATTCCACTCCATTCCATTCCGTTCCTTTCTTTCGACAGGATCTCACTCTGTTACCCAGGCTGGAGTGCAGTGTCACAATCTCAACTCACATTTCATTACACCATCCCAATCCATTCTATTCTGTTCCATTCCATTCCATTCCATTCCATTCCATTCCATTCTATTCTATTCCACTACTCTCCACTCCATTCCACTGCATTACATTCCACTCCATTCTATTCCATTTCACTCCACTCCACTCCAATCCAATCCACTCCATTTCACACCATCCCATTCCACTCCACTCTACTCCAATCCAATCCATTCCATTCTACTCCCTTACATTCCATTCCTTTCTCTCGACAGGATCTCACTCCCTCACCCAGGCTGGATTGTAGTTGCACAATCTCACCTCACATTTTATTTCACCACTCTATTCCATTCCATTACATTGCATTCCATTTCATTGCATTCCATTAATTGTATTCCATTCCATTCCATTTCATTCAATTCCATTCCACTACACTCCATTCAACTCCAATACACTCCACTCCACTCCATTCCATTCCATTCCATTCCTTTCCAATCCAGTCCACTCCACTGCACTCCACTCGACTCCACTCCTCTCCACTACTCTCCACTCCATTCCAATCCCCTCCATCCCATTGTTTTCCACTTCATTCCCCTCCACTGCACTGTAATCCACTCCTGTCCACTCCACTTCATTCCACTCCATTCCTTTCCACTCCTTTGAATTCCATTCCTTTATTTCTACAGGATCTCACTCTCTCACCCAGTTTACAGTGCAGTGGAACAATCTCAGCTCCCGTTTCGTTTCACCTTTCCGTTGTATTCCATTCCATTCCATACCATTTCATTCTATTCCATTTCATTCCACTCCACTCCATTCCAATAAACTCCATTCCACTACGTTACACTCCATTCACTTCCATTCCAATCCATTCCACTCTATTTCATTCTATTCCTTTCTTTTGACAGGATCTCACTTTGCCACATAGGCTGAAGTGCAGTGGCAAAGTCTCACCTCTCATTTCATTTCACCATTCCATTCCATTCTATTCTATCCACTCCATTCCACTCCACTCCACTCAATTCCATTCCATTCCACTCCACTCCACTTCACTCCAGTCCACTCCATTCAATTACATTCCATTTCATTCCACTTCTATCCATTCCATTCCCTTCTTTCAACAGGATCTCACTCTCTCACCCAGCCTGGAGTGCAGTGGCACAATCTCTGCTCACATTTCATTTCCCCATTCCATTGCATTCCATTCTATTGCATTCCATTGCATTCCATTACACTCTGCTGCATTCCATTCCATTCCACTCCATTCCACTCCACTCTACTCCACTATTCTATACTCCATCCCATTCCATCCCATTCAATTGCAATCCACTCCACTCCAGTATACTCTACTGCATTCCCTCCTATCCCATTCTACGCCATTCGATTCAAATCCACACCACTCCACTCCACTCAACTCCACTCCATTCCATTCCATTCCATTCCATTCCATTCCATTCCATTCCATTCCATTGCATTCCATTCCATTCCATTGCATTCCATTCCACTCCACTCCACTCCACTCCACTCCACTCCATTCCATTCCATTCCATTCCATTCCATTCCATTCCATTCAATTCCATTCCATTTCTTTCTGTCTAGAAAATCTCACTCTCATACTGGCTGTAGTGCAGTGTCGCACTTTCAGCTCACATTTCATTTCAACATTTCTTTCCACTCCTTTCACCTCCACTCCACTCCATTCCATCCCATTGCATTCCACTCCATTCCACTCCACTTCACTGTACTCCACTCCACTCCATTCCATTCCACTCCCTACCATTCCATTCCCCTCCAATGCACTCCACTCCAGTCAACTCCTCTCCACTCCACTACAATCCATTCCACTCTATTACATTCCATTCCTTTTTTTCAAAAGTATCTCACTCTGTCCCTCAGGCTGGAGTGCAGTGACACAATTTCAGCTCACATTTCATTTCACCATTCCATTGCATTTCCTTTCATTGCCTTCCATTTAATTGCAATCCACTCCACGCCATTCCATTCCATTCCACTCCATTCCATTTCACTCTATTCCACTCCATTCCACTAAACTCCACTCCACTTCATTCCATTATATGCCGTCCCATTTCACTCCATTCCACTCTACTCCACTAAACTCCACTGTACTCCTCTCCAATCCATTCCTTTCCATTCCCTTCCATTCCGTTTTATTACATTCCATCTGTTTCTTTCAACAGCATCTCACACTCAACCAGGCTGGAGTGCAATGACACAATCTCAGCTCACATTTCATTTTACCATTCCATTCCATTCCTTTCCATTCCATTCCATTCTACTCTACTGCACTCCACTCCACTCCACTCCAGTCCATTCCATTCCATTTCACACCATTCCACTCCACTGCATTCCACTCCATTTAATTCCATTACATTACATTCCACTCCATTCCATTCCTTTCTTTCGACAGGATCTCACTCTGTCACAAAGGCTGCACTGCAGTGGCCAATATCAGCTCACATTTCGTTTCACCATTCCATTCCATTCCATTCCATTCCATTCCATTCCATTCCACTCCACTCCACTCCAATCTACTCCATTCCATTCCATCCAATTCCATGCCACTCCACTCCATTCCACTCCCCTCCACTCCACTCCATTCCACTCCATCCCATTCCATTCCAATCCATTCCACTCCAGTCAACTCCACTTCACTCCACTCCATTCCATCCCATTCCATTCCATTCCATTCCATTCCATTCCATCCCATTCCATTCCATCCCATCCCATGCCATTCCATCCCATTCCATTCCATTCCATTCCATTCCATTCCATTCCACTCACTTCCATTCCATTCCACACCTTCCATTTGATTCCTTTCTTTTGAAAGCATCTCTTCCTCTCACCCAGGCTGGAGTGTAGTGGCACAATCTGAGCTCACATTACATTTCACCATGCTATTCCATTGCATTCCATTGCACTCCATTCCATGGTATTCCGTTCCATTGCATTCCGTTGCATTCCATTACATTCTATACCATTCCATTGTATTCCATTGCATTTCTTTGCATTCCATTTCCTTCCATTCCTTTCCACTCCTTTCCATTCCATTCCATTCCATTCAACTCCACTGCATTACACACCTCTCCACTCCACTCCAATCCATTCCATTCCACTTCCTTACATTCCATTCCTTTCTTTCGACAGAATCTCACTCCCTCACCCATGCTGGAGTGCAGCGGCACAATCTCACCTCACATTTCATTTCACAGTTCTTTTCCATTACATTTCGTTGCATTCCATTAATTATATTCCATTCCATTCCATTTCATTCAATTCCACACCACTACATTCCATTCAACTGCAATAAGTTCCACTCCATTCCATTCCATTCCATTCCATTCCATTCCATTCCATTCCATTCCTTTCTATTCCTTTCCACTCTAGTCCACTCTGCTGCACTCCACATCACTCCGCTGCTCTCCAATACTCTCCACTCCATTCCAATCCTCTCCATCCCATTGTATTCCACTTCATTCCCCTCCACTCCTCTCTACTCCACTTCTGTCCACTTGACTTCACTCCACTCCATTCCATTCCACTCCATTGAATTCCATTCCTTTCTTTCACCAGGATCTCATTCTCTCACCCTGTTTGCAGTGCAGTGGAACAATCTCAGCTCGCATTTCATTTCACCTTTCCATTCTATTCCATTCCATTCCATTCCATTCCATTCCATTCCATTCCATTCCATTCCATTCCATTCCATTCCACTCTTTCCCATTCCTTTCCTTTCTTTTGACAGGATCTCACTCCATCAAACAGGCTGGAGTGTAGTGGTACAATCTCACCTCAATTTTCACTCCACCATTCCATTCCATTCCATTCCTTTCCATTCCATTCTACTCAACTTCAACCAACTCCACTGCATTGAACTCCATTCCACTCCACTTCACTCCACTCCTCTCCACTCCTCTACATTACATCTCATTCTATCCCACTCCATTCCACTCCACTCCACTCCAATCTACTCAATTCCATTACATCACATTCCATTCCATTCCATTCAATTCCACTCCACTCCAATCCACTCAACTGCAATCCTCTATATTCCATTCCATAACCTTCCATTACATTCCCTTCTGTTCCATTACATCACATTCCATTCCATTCCATTCTATTCCATTCCACTCCATTCCATTCCATTCCACTCCTTTCCATTCCTTTCCTTTCTTTTGACAGGATCTCACTCCGTCAAACAGGCTGGAGTGTAGTGGCACAATATCACCTGAAATTTCACTCCACCATTCCATTCCTTTCCATTCCATTCCATTCCATTCCATTCCATTCCATTCCACTCCTTTCCATTGCTTTCCTTTCTTTTGACAGGATCTCACTCCATCTAACAGGCTGGAGTGTAGTGGTACAATCTCACCTCAAATTTCACTCCACCATTCCATTCCATTCCATTCCTTTCCATTCCATTCCATTCCATTCCATACCATTGCATTCCATTCCACTGCATTCCTTTCCATTCTACTCAACTTCAATCAACTCCACTGCATTGCACTCCATTCCACTCCACTTCACTCCACTCCTCTCCACTCCTCTACATTACATCTCATTCTATCCCACTCCATTCCACTCCACTCCACTCCAATCTACTCAATTCCATTACATCACATTCCATTCCATTCCATTCAATTCCACTCCACTCCAATCCACTCAACTGTAATCCTCTATATTCCATTCCATTCCCTTCCATTCCATTCCCTTCTGTTCCATTACATCTCATTCCATTCCATTCCATTCTATTCCATTCCACCACATTCCATTCCATTCCACTTCTTTCCATTCCTTTCCTTTCTTTTGACAGGATCTCACTCCGTCAAAAAGGCTGGAGTGTAGTGGCACAATGTCACCTCAAATTTCACTCCACCTTTCCATTCCATTCCATTCCATTCCATTCCATTCCATTCCATTCCATGCCACTCCATTCCATTCCATTCCATCCCAGTCCATTCCACTCCATTCTACACCACTCCACTCCACTCCATTCCATTGCATTCCAACAGAATCTATTCCAGCCCACTCCATTCCATTCCATTCCCTGCTTTAGATAGGATCTCTCTCTGTGACACAACCTGGAATGCAGTAGCACAATCTCATCTCACATTTCATTTGACCATTCCATTCCACTACATTCCACTACACTTCAGTCCACTCCACTCCACACTAATCCACGCCATTCCACTCCATTCAATTCCATTTCAGTCCATTCCACTCCATTCGACACCACTCCAATCCACTCAACTCCACTTCATTCAACTTCAGTCCACTCCACTCCAGTCCACTCCACTTCATTACAGTCCATGCCATTCCATTCCACTCCATTCCACTGCACTGCCCTTCACTCCACTACACGCCACTCCATTCCATTCCATTCCATCCCAGTTCATTGCACTCCATTCCACACCACACCACTCCACTCCACTTCATTCCATTCCAATCCATCCCATTCCATTGCATCCCATTCCATTCCATTCCATCCCAGTGCATTCCCTTCCATTCCATTCCATTTCGTTCCATTCCATTCCTTTCTTTTGACAGGATCTCACTCTCTCACCTTGGCTGTAGTGAAGAGGCACAAACTCAGCTCACATTACATTTCACCATTGCATTCCATTCCATTTCACTCCTTTCCATTCCATTCCTTTCTACTCCTTTCCATTCCATTCCTTTCTACTCCATTCCATTCCATTCCACTCCAGTCTACTCCACTCCACTGCACTCCACTCCACTCCCTTCCACTACATTCCATCTCATTCCACTCCACTATGCTCCACTCCATTCCATGCCATTTCATCCCATTCCATTCCACTCCATTCCACTCCACTCCACTCCACTCCATTCCATGCCATTCCATTCCACTCCACTTGACTTCACTCCACTCCATTCGATTGCATTCCACTCCACTGCACTCTACTTCACTCCACTCCACTGCATTCCATACCATTCCATTCCACTCAATTCTACTCCACTCCACTTCATTCCAATCCATCCCATTCCATTATACTCCTTTCCCCACCACTCCACTCCACTCCACTTCATTCCATTTCATTCTATCCCATTCCATTCCACTTCAATCCACTCCACTGCACTCCATTCCACTCTATTAAATTCCTTTCCTTTCCATTCGACTCCATTCTATTTCTTTCCTTTCTATCAAAAGGATCTCACTCTGTCACACAGGTTCCACTGCACTGGCCCAGTCTCAGCTCTCATTTCATTTCACCATTCGATTCGATTGGATTCCATTCCATTCCATTCCATTTCCACTCCACTGCACTCCACTCCACTGCACGCCACTCCATTGCATTCCATTCCATTCCATTTCACTCGACTCCATTCCAATCCACTCCACTCCATTACACTCCATTCCATTCCATCCCATTCATCCCATTCAATTTCCCTCTACTCCATTCCACTCCACTCCACTCCAATTCACTCCATTCCATTGCATGCCATTCCATTCCACTCCTCTCCATTCCACTCCACTCCACACTCCTCCTTTCCACTCCATCTCATTCCATTCCACTCCATTCCACTCCACTCAACTGCACTTCATTCCACTGTACTGCATTCCATTTCATTCCACTCCCTTCCATTTTTTTTCCACTCCCTTACATTCCATTCCTTTCTTTCGACAGGATCTCATTCTCTCACACAGGCTGGAGTGTAGTGGCACAATCTCGGCTCACATTTCATTTCGACATTCTATTCCATTGCATTCCATTGCACTCCGTTCCATTCTATTGCATTCCATTGCATTCCATTCCATTCCATTCCTCTCCACTCCACTCCATTCTACTCCACTCCAGTCCACTCTGCTCCAGTACACTCCACTCCATTCCATTCATCTCCATTCCATTACTTTCCTTTCTTTCGACAGGATCTCACTCTTTCACCCAAGTTGGTGTGCAGTGGAAAAATCTCAGCTCACATTTCATTGCACCATACCATTCCATTCCATCCCATCCCACTCCATTCCTTTAAATTCCATTCCATTACAGTCCACTCCACTCCATTTCACTCCACTCCACACCACTCCACTCCTTTCCATCCATTCCATTCCACTCCATTCCACTCCACTCCACTTCTTTACCATCCATCCCATTCCATTCCACTGCAATCCACTCCACTCCACTCCTGTCCACTCCATTCCATTCCATTCCATCCCATTCCGTTCAAACCAATCAACTCCACTCCACTCCACTCCAGTTCACTCCATACCGTTCCATTCCATTCCACTCCTTTCCATTGCATTCCTTTCTTTTGACAGGATCTTATTCTGTCTGCCAGGTTCGAGTGCAGTGGCACAATCTCAGCTCACATTTCATTGCACTATAGTATTCCGTGCCATTCCACACCACTCCATTCCTTTAAATTCCATTCCATTCTAGTCCACTCCACTCTACTCCACTTCACTCACTCTACTCCACACCACTCTACTCCACTCCATTCCATCCCATTCCAGTCCACACCACTCTACTCCACTCCATTCCATCCCATTCCATTCCACTCCACTCCACTTCTTTCCATTCCATTCCATTCCACTCCACTCCACCTCACTCCACTCCACTCCTGTCCACTCCACTGCACTCCATTCCATTAAATTGCATTCCATTCCACTCCTTTCCTTTCCATTCGTTTCTCTTGAGAAGATCTCACTCTGGCACCCAGTCTGAAGTGCAGTGACACAATCTTAACTCACATTTCATTTCACCATTCCATTGCATTCCATTCAATTGCATTCCTTTCCATTCTGTTCCATTACATTCCACTCCACTCAACTCCACTCCACTCCACCCTGCTGCTTTCCATTCCATTCCATTCCATTCCTCTCCATTCCACTCCACACTACTCCATTCCTCTACACTTCATCACATTCCATCCAATTCCATTCCATTCCATTCCATTCCAGTCAACTGCACTCCATTCCACTCCATTCCATCCCATTGCATTCCACTCCATTCCACTCCATTTCACTGCACTCCACTCCACTCCATTCCATTCCACTCCCTACCATTCCATTCCCCTCCAATGCACTCCACTCCAGTCAACTCCTCTCCACTCCATTACAATCCATTCCACTCTATTACATTCCATTCCTTTTTTTCAAAAGTATCTCACTCTGTCCCTCAGGCTGGAGAGAAGTGGCACAATTTCAGCTCACATTTCATTTCACCATTCCATTGCATTTCCTTTCATTGCCTTCCATTTAATTGCAATCCACTCCACGCCATTCCATTCCATTCCACTCCACTCCATTTCACTCCATTCCACTCCATTCCACTAAACTCTACTCCACTTCATTGCATTCCATGCCGTCCCATTTCACTCCATTCCACTCCTCTCCACTCTGCTCCACTCAACTCCACTGTACTCCTCTCCAATCCATTCCTTTCCATTCCCTTCCATTCCATTTTATTACATTCCATCTATTTCTTTCATGAGCATCTCACACTCAACCAGGCTGGAGTGCAATGACACAATCTCCGCTCACATTTCATTTTACCATTCCATTCCATTCCATTCCTTTCCATTCCATTCCATTCTACTCTACTGCACTCCACTTCACTCCACTCCAGTCCATTCCACTCCATTTAATTCCATTACATTACATTCCACTCCATTCCATTCCTTTCTTTCGAGAGGATCTCACTCTGTCACAAAGGCTGCACTGCAGTGACCAATATCAGCTCACATTTCGTTTCACCATTCCACTCCATTCCATTCCATTTCATTCCACTCCACTCCACTCCAATCTACTCCATTCCATTCCATCCAATTCCATGCCACTCCACTCCATTCCACTCCACTCCATTTCACTCCATCTCATTCCATTCCAATCCATTCCACTCCAGTCAACTCCACTTCACTCCACTCCATTCCATGCCATTCCATCCCATCCCATTCCATTCCATTCCATTCCATTCCATTCCATTCCATTCCATTCCATTCCATTCCATTCCACTCACTTCCATTCCATTCCACACCTTCCATTTGATTCCTTTCTTTTGAAAGGATCTCTTTCTCTCACCCAGGCTGGAGTGTAGTGGCACAATCAGATTACATTTCACCATGCTATTTCATTGCATTCCATTGCACTCCATTCCATGGTATTCCGTTCCATTGCATTCCGTTGCATTTCATTACATTCCATACCATTCCATTGTATTCCATGGCATTTCGTTCCATCCCATTTCATTCCATTTCTTTCCACTCCTTTCCATTCCATTCCATTCCATTCAACTCCACTCCATTACACTCCTCTCCACTCCACTCCAATCCGTTCCATTCCACTCCCTTACATTCCATTCCTTTCTTTCGACAGAATCTCACTCCCTCACCCATGCTGGAGTGCAGTGGCACAATCTCATCTCACATTTCATTTCACAGTTCTATTCCATTACATTCCGTTGCATTCCATTAATTGTATTGCATTCCATTCCATTTCATTCAATTCCATTCCACTACATTCCATTCAACTCCAATACATTCCACTCCATTCCATTCCATTCCTTTCTATTCCTTTTCACTCTAGTCCACTCCGCTGCACTCCACTTGACTCCGCTGCACTCCACTACTCTCCACTCCATTCCAATCCCTTCCATCCAATTGTATTCCACTTCATTCCCCTCTACTCCACTCTACTCCACTTCTGTCCACTTGACTTCACTCCACTCCATTCCATTACACTCCATTGAATTCCATTCCTTTCTTTCACCAGGATCTCATTCTCTCACCCTGCTTGCAGTGCAGTGGAACAATCTCAGATCGCATTTCATTTCACCTTTCCATTCTATTCCATTCCATTCCACTTCATTCCATTCCATTCCACTCTGCTCCATTCCACTCCACTCCACTGCACTCCGTTCATTTCCATTCCAATCCGTTCCACTCCATTCCATTCCGTTCCTTTCTTTTGACAGGATCTCACTCTCTCACACAGGCTAAAGTACAGTGGCAAAATTTAAGTTCATATTTCATTTCACCATTCCATTCCATTCCACTCCACTCCACTCAATTCCCTTCCATTCCACTCCATTCCACTTCACTCCAGTCCACTCCATTCAATTACGTTCCATTTCATCCCACTCCTATCCATTCCATTCCTTTCTTTCGACAGGATCTCATTCTGTCACCCAGCCTATAGAGCAGTGGCACAATATCAGCTCACATTTAATTTCATCATTCCATTACATTGCATTCCATTCAATTCCATACTATTCCATTCCATTCCATTCCAATCTGCTGCATTTCATTCCATTGCATTCCACTTCACTCTACTCCACTACTCTACACTCCATCCCATTCCATCCCATTCAATTCCACTCCACTCCACTCTATTGCATTCCCTCTCATCCCATTCCAAGCCATTCCACTCAAATCCACACTACTCCACTCCACTCTACTCCACTCCATTCCATTCCATTCCATTGCATTCCATTCCATTCCATTCCATTACTTTCTGTCGAGAAAATCTCACTCTGTCACACTGGCTGTAGTGCAGTGTTGCACTTTCAGCTCACATTTCATTTCACCTTTCCTTTCTATTCCATTCCACTCCACTCCATTCTATGCCATTGCATTCCACTGCATTCCACTCCACTTCACTGCACTCCACTCTACTCCATTCCATTTCACTCCCTACCATTCCATTCCCCTCCACTCCACTCCACTCCAGTCAACTCCTCTCCACTCCCTTCCATTCCATTCCATTCCACTCTATTACATTCCATTCTTTTTCTTCGACAGTATCTCACTCTGTCCCTCAGGTTGGAGTGCAGTGGCACAATCTCAGTCACATTTCATTTCACCATTCCATTGTATTTCCTTCCATTGCATTCCATTTAATTACAATCCACTCCTCTCCACTCCACGCCATTCCATTCCATTCCAGTACCTTCCACTAAATTCAACTCCATTCCACTACACTCCACGCCACTTCATTCCATTCCATGCCGTCCTATTTCACTCCATTCCACTCCTCTCCACTCTACTCCACTCCACTGCACTCATCTCCAATGCATTCCGTTCCATTCCCTTCCATTCCATTCCATTCCATTCCACTCCATTCCATTCCATTCCGTTCCATTCCGTTCTGTTCCGTTCCATTCCGTTCCATTCCGTTCCATTCCATTCCATTCCATTCCATTCCATTCCATTCCATTCCATTCCATTCCATTCCCTAAAATTCCATTAAATTCCAGTCCACTCCTCTCCATTCCATCTCATTCTGTTCCACTCCATTCCACTCCATTCCACTCCTCTTCTTTCCATTCCAACCCATTCGATTCCATTCCAGTCCACTCCACTCCACTCCTGTCCACTCCATTGCATTCCATTCACGCCAATCCACTGCACTCCACTTAATTCCATTCCATGCAACTCCTTTCCATTCCATTCCATTATTCAACAGGATGTCTCTCTGTCACCTAGCTGGAGTGCAGTGGCACAATCTCAGCTCACGTTTTATTTAATCATTCCATTTTATACATTGCATTCCATTCCATTCCACTCTGCTGCATTCCATTCCATTCGATTCCATTCCACTCCATTCCACTCCTATGTACTCCACTCGACTCCACTCCACTCCACCACAATCCGCTCCATTCCATTCCACTCCATAACATTCTATTCCAATTCATTCCCCTGCACTCCACTCCCCTCTACTCCGTTTCAGTCCACTCCACTCCACTCTATTCCACTCCACTCCGTTACATTACACTCCATAACATTCTAATCCAATACATTCCCCGACACTGCAGTCCCCTGTACTTCGTTCCAGTCCACTCCACTCCACTCTACTCCAGTCCACTCCATTCCATTTCACTCCATTCCATTACATTCCTTTTTTTCGACAGGATCTCTCACTGTCACACAGGCTGGAGTACAGTGGCACAATCTCAGCTCACGTTTCATTTAACCATTCCATTGCATTCCATTCCATTCCATTCCATTGCATTCCACTTCAGTCTGCTGTATTCCATTTCATTCGATTCCATTCTACTCCATTCCACTCCAATACACTCCACTCAACTCCACTCCACTCCACTCTATTCCATTACACTCCATAATATTCTATTCCAATAAATTCCTTTCCACTCCACTAAACTCAACTCCATTCCAGTCCACTCCACTCCACTCCACTCCATTCCACTCCATTCCATTCCACTCAATTCCATTCCGCTGCATTCCATTCCATTCCTTTCTTCCGACAAAATCTCACTCTGTCACCCAGGTTAAAGGCAGTTGAACAATATCAGCTCACATTTCGTTTCACCATAGCGTTCCATTCCATTCCATTCCTTTAAATTCCATTCCATTTCAGTCCACTCCACTCCACTCCACTTCACCCCACTCCACTCCACTCCGCTTCATTCCTTCCCTTTCATTTCCACTCCAGTCCACAACACTCCAATCCACTCAACTTCTTTCCATTCCATCCCATTCCATTCCACTCTAATCCACTGCACTCTACTCCACTCCTTTCCACTCCATTCCATTCCACTCCATCCCATTCCATTCACGCCAATCCACTCCACTCCACTCCTTTCCACTCCACTACATTGCGTTCCTTTCCACTCTTTTTCATTCCATTCCTGTCTTTTGACAGAATCTCACTTTTTCACCCAGGCTGGAGTGCAGTGGCACAATCTCAGCTCACATTTCATTTTACCATTCCATGGCATTCCATTCCATTTCATTAATTTCCATTCCACTCCACTCCACTCCACTCTGCTGCATTCCATTCCGTTCCATTCCATTCCATTCCATTCCATTCCATTCCATTCCATTCCGTTCCATTCCATTGCACTCCACTCTACTCCTCTCCACTCCATCCCATTGCATCCCATCCCATTCCATGTCATTCCACTCTACTCCACTCCATTCCATTCCATCCCACTCCATTTCATTCTGTGCTTTTCTGTCAACAAGATCTCACTCTGTCACATTGGCTGGAGTGCAGTCACAGAGTCTCAGGTCACATTTCATTCTACATTCCATTCCATTCCACTCCACTCCACTCCACATCACTCCACTGCACTCCACTCCATTCAATCCCATTGCATTCCGCTCCATTCAACTCCACTTCACCGCACTCCACTCCACTTCGTTCCATTCCACTCCACCACCTTCCGTTCTACTCCACTACAATCCACTGCAGTGCACTACTCTCCATTCCATTCCATTCCACTCTATTCCATTCCATTCCTTTTCTTCTACAGGATATCTCTCTGTCACTCAGGCTGGAGTGCAGTGGCACAATCTCAGCTCACATTTCCTTCACCATTCCATTCCATTCCATTCTGCTTCATTCCATTACATTACGTTCCATTTAATTCCAATCTATTGCACTGCACTCCTCTCCACACTACTCCATGCCATTCCATTCTATTACATTCCAGTTCAATCCACTCCATTTCACTACATTCCACTCCAATTTTTTCCATTACATCCCGTTTCATTCCAGTTCCATTCGATTCCATTCCATTCCACTCCATTCCATTCCATTCCATTCCATTCCATTCCATTCATCTCCATTTCATTCATCTCCATTCCACTCCATTCCATTCCATTCCATTCCATTCCATTCCATTCCATTCCATTCCATTCCATTCCATTCATCTCCATTCCATTCCATTCCATTCCATTCCATTCCATTCCATTCCATTCCGTTCCATTCCATTCATCTCTATTCCATTCCATTCATTCCTTTTAACATCATCTCACACTGTCACGGAGGCTGGAGTTCAGTGATAGAATCTCAGCTCACATTACATTTCACCATTCCATTCCATTCCATTCCATTCCTTTGTGTTCCATTCCACTCAACTGCACTGAATCCCACTCCATTCCACTCGCTTCAG
>NC_000024.10:10670732-10674058 GCF_000001405.40 Homo sapiens
AGTGGCACAATCTCAGCTCACCTTACATTTAACCATTCCATTCCATTCCATTACATTTCAGTGCATAACATTGTATTCCATTAGGTAACATTCCGTTCAGTTCTGTTCCACGCCACTCCATTCCACTCCACTCCACTCCAGTCCACTCCAATCAACTTCATTCCATTCCATTCCATCCCATTTCACTCCATTCCAAACCACTCCACTCCACACCATTCCTTTCCACTCCATTCCTTTCCTTTCCACTCCATTCCATTCTTTTCCACTCCATTCCATTCCATTCCATTCCATTCCATTCCATTCCATTCCATTCCATTCCATTCCATTCCATTAAACTCCTTTCTATTCCATTGCCTACTTTCGACAGAATCTCACTCTTTGACACAGGCTTGATTTCAGTAGCACAATCTTACCTCACATTTCATTTCACCATACCATTCCACTGCATTCCACTCCACTTCACTCCAGTCCACTCCACTCCACATCAGTCCACGCCATTCCACTCCATATCATTCCACTCCATTTCATTCCATTCCTTTGTTTCAACTGGATCTCACTCTGTCACTCGGGCTGGAATGCCGAGCCCCAATCTCAACTCACTTTTCATTAAACTGTTCCATTCCATTCTATTGCTTTCCATTCTATTCCAGTTCATTCCATTCCTTTACATTTAATTCCATTCCATTTCATTCTATTAAATTCCATTTCACTCCACTCCACTCCGTTGCATTCCATTCCACTCAACTACACTCCACACCACTCCATTCCATTCCATCCCCTTCCACTCCACTCCACTCCATTCCTCCCAATCCCATTCCATTCCACTCTCTTCCAGTCCACTCCACTCCACTCCACTCCACTACAATCCATTCCATTCCATTACACTCCATTCCTCTCTCTGCCATTCCACTCTGTTCTTTCGACAGGATCTCACTTTATCACCAAGGCTGGAGTAACGTGGCATAAACTCAGCTCGCATTTCATTTCAACATTCCATTGCATTCCATTACAATGCATTCCACTCCATTCCACTTCATTCCATTCCATTCCACTCCACTCCACTCCACTCGGCCTCATTGCATTCCATTCCATTTCACTCCATTCCACGCCAATCTACTCCACTCCCCTCCACTCCATTGTATTCCACTGCACTCCCTTCCATTCCATTCCTTTCTTTCAACAGGATCTCACTCTGTCACTCAGGATGGAGTGCAGTGGCAAAACCTCAGCTCACATTTCGTTTCACCATTCCTTTCCGTTCCATTTAATTCCATTCCATTACCCTCCACTCCACTCCAGTCCACTCCACTCTGCTCCATTCCACTCCAGTCCACTCCACTCCAATCTAGCACAATCCACTCTATTCCACTCAATCCCTTTCCATTCCATGGAATTCCAATCCACTCCACTCCACTCCTCTCCATTGCATTCCATCATATTCTATTCCACTCCATTGCAGTCCACTCCACTCCACTCCTCTCCACTCCACTCCATTCCATTCCATTCCTTTCCTTTCCATTCCATTTTGCTCCATTCTCTTACATTCCATTCCATTTATTTCCAATCCATTGCACTGCACTGCTCTCCACTCCACTCCATGTCATTCCAGTCCATTCCACTCCATTCCAAAACACTCCAATCCAATTTGTTCCATTACATCCCGTTTCATTTCACTCCATTCCACTCCTCTCCCCTCTATTCCATTCCACTCCTCTCCACTCTATTCCACTCGATTCCATTCCATTCTTTTCCATTCCATTCCATTCCATTCCACTCCAATCTACTCCGCTCCATCCCATTTAATTCCACTCCAATCCACTCCAGTCCACTCCATTCCGTGCCATTCCATCCAATTCCGTTCTATTTTGTTCCATTCCATTCAATTCCAGTCCATTACTTTGAATTCTTTTCTTTTGAAATGATTTCACTCATTCACACAGGCTGGAGTGCAGTGGGAATATCTGAGCTCACACTTCATTTTACCATTCCATTGCACTCCATTCCACTTCACTCCACTCCACCCCACTCCACTCCGTTCCATACCATTCCATCCCAATCCATTCCATTCCACTCCACTCCATTCCATTCCACTCCATCCCATTTCATTCCACACCACAACACTCCACTACACCCCACTCACTGCCATTCCATGCCATTTCACTCCATTCCATTTGATTCCCTTCCACTCCATTGCATTACATTCCTTTATTTCGACAGTATTTCACTCTGTCACACAGGCAGGAATGCAGTGGTACAATCTCAGCTCACATTTCATTTCACCATTTCATTTCACTCCATACCACTCCACTCCACTACACCACACTCCACTCCACTCCATGAAATCCCAATCCATTCCATTCCACTCCATTCCATTCCATTCCTTTGCTTTCTTTCGACAGGATCTCACTCTGTCACGCAGGGTGGAGTGCAGTGGCACAATTTCAGCTCACATTTCATTTCAATATTCCATCTCCTTCCATTCCATTCCACTCTACTCCACTCCACTTCAGTCCACTCCACTCCACTCCCCTCTATTTCATTTTGTTCCATTCCATTCCACTCCTTTCCTTTCCTTTCTTTTGACAGGATCTCACTCTATCAAACAGGCTGGAGTGTAGAGGCATAATCTCACCTCAAATTTCACTTCACCCTTCCATTCCATTCCGTTCCATTCCATTCCATTCCACTCCATCCCATTCCATTCAACTCCTTTCCACACGACTCCCCTCCACTCCACTCCATTCCACAACACTCCACTCCACTGCAATCCACTCGATTCCATTCCATTCCATTTCATTTGAATCCATTCCATTCCACTCTATTCCACTCCACTCCTCTCCACTCCATTCCATTCCATTCGATTCAATTCCACTCCATTACATTCCATTCTTTCTTTTGAAAGGATCTCACTCTGTCACACAGGCTGGAGTGCAGTGGCACAATCTCAGCTTACCTTTCATTTCACCATTCTATTCCACTTTATTCAACTCCACTCCACTCAAGTCCACTTCACTCATTTCCATTCCATTCCACTGCACTCCAATCCACTCCTCTACCCTGCATTCCATCCCCTTCCATTCCACTCCTTTCCACTCCATTCCACTCCACTCCACACCATTCCACTCCATTCCATTCCATTCCATTCCACTCCATTCCATTCCATTCCATTCCATTCCATTCCATTCCATTCCATTCCATTCCATTCCATTGCACCCCATTCCATTCCATTCCATTCCATTGCACTCCATTACATCACATACTTTTCTTTCGACAATATCTCACTTTGTCCCCCGGGCAGGAATGCAGTAGCACTATCTCAGCTCACC
>NC_000024.10:10676544-10679715 GCF_000001405.40 Homo sapiens
CCTTTCGTCAGAATATCACTCTTTCACGCAGGGTGTAGTGCAGTGGCACAATCTCAGTTCACATTTCATTTCAACTTTCTACTCCATAGCATTCCATTGCAGTCCCTTTTTTTCCACTCCTTTCTTTTGACAGGATCTCACTCTGTCACTCAGGGTGGAGTGCAGTCGTATAATCTCAGCTCACATTACATTTCATCATGGCATTCCATTCCATTCCACTCGTTTTGTCTCCATTTCACTCTACTCCACTCCACTCCACTGCACTCCTTTTCATACCATTCCATTCCACTCCACTTCACTCTAATCCACTCAATTCCATTCTATCCCATTCCATTCCGCTCTACTCCACTCCACTCCACTACACTCCATTCCATTCCACTCTATCCCGTTTCATTCCACACTATTACGGTCCACTACACTCCATTTCCTGCCATTCCACCCCATTTCATTCCTTTCCATTCCTGTCCATTTGATTCCATTCCACTCCACTGCATTCCATTCCTTTTTTTCAACAGTATCTCACTCGGTTACACAGGCTGGGTGTGCAGTGGCAGAATCTCAGCTCACAAAACATTTCACCATTTCATTTCCCTCCATACCACTCCACTACACTACACCACACCCCACTCCACTCCACTCCACTCCATTAAATCCAAATCCATTCCATTCCACTCCATTCCACTCCATTCCTTTGCTTTCTTTCAATAGGATCTAACTCTGTCACGCAGGGTGGAGTGCAGTGGTACAATCTCAGCTCACATTTCATTTCAATATTCCTTCCCATTCCATTCCATTCCATTCCACTCCACTCCACTCCTCTCCACTCCACTCCACTCCATTGCATTTTATTCCATCCCAGTCCATTCCACTCCATTCTACACCACTCCACTCCACTCCATTGCGTTACATTCCAACTGATTCCATTCCATCCCACTCCATCGAATTCCATTCCACTCCATTCCATTCCATTCCATTCCATTCCAGTCCACTCCACTCCACTCCAATTCACTCCAATCCATTCCATCCCATTTCATTCCACTCCACACCAATCCATTCAATTCAGTCCAATTCTATTTTATTCCATTCCATTCAATTTGTTTCTTTTGAAAGGATCTCACTCAGTCACACTGGCTGGAGTGCAGTGGGAAAATTTGAGCTTGCATTTCATTTCACAATTCCATTACACTCCATTCCACTCCACTCCAACCCACTCCACTCCATTCCACTCCATTCCATCTGAATCCATTCCATTCCACTGCATTCCATTCCTTTCCTTTCTTTCATCAGGATAGCACTCTTTCACGCAGGGTGGAGTGCAGTGGCACAATCTCAGTTCACATTTCGTTTCAACTTTCCACTCCACAGCATTCCATTGCAGTCCGTTTCTTTCCATTCCTTTCTTTTGACAGGATCTCACTCTGTCACTCTGTGTGGAGTGCAGTCGCGTAATCTCAGCTTACATTAGATTTCAGGATTGCTTTCCATTGCATTCCACTCCACTCCATTCCATTCCATTCGATTCCATTCCTTTCCACTCTACTCCACTCCACTGCCCTCCATTTCATACCATTCCATTCTACTCCACTCCACTCCAATCCACTCAATTCCAATCCATTCCATTCCATTCCACTCCACTCCACTCTATTCCATTCCACTCCATCCCATTTCATTCCACACCACTACACTTCACTACATTCCATTCTGGGACATTCCATCCCATTTCATTCCATTCCATTTGATTCCATTCCTTTTTTTCGACAGTATCTCACCCTGTCACACAGGCTGTGGTGCAGTGGCACAATCTCAGCTCACAATTCATTTCCCTCAGTACCACTCCATTCCACTACACCACACTCCAATCCACTCCACTCCATTAAATCCCAGTCCATTCCATTCCACTCCATTCCATTCCTTTGCTTTCTTTCAATAGGATCTCACTCTGTCACGCAGGGTGGAGTGCAGTGGCACAATCTCAGCTCACATTTCATTTCAATATTCCATCCCATTCCAAACCATTCCACTCCACTCCACTCCAATCCACTCCACTCCAATCCACTCCACCCAATTCCATTCCATTCCATTCCATTCCATTCCATTCCATTCCATTCCATTCCTTCCCTTTCCATTCCATTCCATTCCACTTCCTTCCACTCCTTTCCTTTCTTTTGACAGGCTCTCACTCCATCAAACAGGCTGGAGTGTTGTATCACAATCTCACCTCAAATTTCACTCCACCATTCCATTCCATTCCATTCCTTTCCTTTCCATTCCATTCCATGCCATTCCACTCCTTTCCATTCCTTTCCTTTCTTTTGATAGGGTCTCACTCCATCAAAGAGGCTGGAGTGTAGTGGCACAATCTCACCTCAAATTTCACTCCACCATTCCATTCCATTCCATTCCATTCCATTCTACTCAACTTCAATCAACTCCACTGCATTCCACTCCATTCCACTCCAGTTCACTCCACTCCTTTCCACTCCTCTACATTACTTCCCATTTTATCCCACTCCATTCCACACCACTCCACTCCACTCCAATCTACTCAATTCCATTGCATTACATCACATTCCATTCCATTCCATTCAATTCCAATCCACTCCAATCCACTCAACTGCAATCCTCTATATTGCATTCCATTCCCTTCCATTCCATTACATCACATTCCATTCCATTCTATTCCATTCCACTCCACGCCACTCTACTCCACTCCAATTCACTCCATTCCATTCCATCCCATTTCATTCCACTCCAATCCACTCCACTCCATTACATGTCATTCCATCCGATTACATTCTCTTCCATTCCATTCCAATCCATTCCAGTCCATTCCATTCCATTCGTTTCTTTTGAAACGATCTTACTCAGTCACACATGGTGGAGTTCAGTGGGAATATCTGAGCTCACACTACATTTCACCATTCCATTGCACTCCATTCCACTCCATTCCACTCCCCTCCACTCCACCCCACTCAATTCTATTCCACTCCATTCAATCCTAATCCATTCCATTCCTCTCCATTCAATTCCTTTCCTTTCTTTCGTCAGGATATCACTCTTTGACGCAGGGTGGAGTGCAGTGACACAATGTCAGTTCACATTTCCTTTTAACTTTCCACTCCATAGCATTCCAATGCAGTCCATTTCTTTCCATTCCTTTCTTTTCAGAGG
>NC_000024.10:10682442-10691573 GCF_000001405.40 Homo sapiens
ACTCTACAGTACTGAACTACACTCCTATCCACTCCACTCCATTCCATTCCACTCCATTCCATTCCATTCCATTCCATTCCATTCCATTCCATTCCATTCCATTCCATTCCATTCCACTCCACTCCATTCCATTCCATTCCACTCCATTCCATTCCATTCCTTCCTTTCGACAACATCTCACTCTGTCATGCAGACTGGAGTGCAGTGGCACAATCTCAGCTCAGGTTTCATTTCGCCATTCCATTCCCTTCCATTCCATTCCATTCCATTCCATTCCACTCAACTGCACTGCACTCCACTACATTCTATTCCATTCCATTCCATTCCATTCCATTCCACTGCATCCCATTCCATTCCACTCTATTCCAAACCACTCCACTCCACTCCATTTCATTCCACACCACTCCACTCCACTTCATTGCATTCCATTCCAACCAATTCCATTCCACTCCGTTACATTCCACTTCAGTCCACTCGATTCAATTCCATTCCATAGCATTTCTCTCCATTCCTTTCCATTCTTTCTTTCAACAAGATCTTACTCTGTCACAGGCTGGAGTGCAGTGGCCCAATCTTAGCTCACATTTCATTTCACCATTCCATTCCATTCGATTCCACTCAATTCCACTACACTCTACTCAAGTCCACTCCACTCCATTCCATTCCATTCCACTGCCCTCCACTCCACTCCTCTCTTCTCCATTCCATCCAATTCCATTCCCCTCCTTTCCAACACACTTCACTCCACTTCTCTCCATTCTGTGCCTTTCCATTCCATCACATTCCACTCCACTCCACTCCACTCCACTCCACTCCACTCCACTCCACTCCACTCCATTCCATTCCATTCAATTCCAATACACACCATTACATTACTTTCATTTCTTTCGACAGGATCTCACTCTATCAACCAGGCTGGAATACAGTGGCACAATCTCAGCTCACATTTCATTTAACCATTGCATTCCATTCCATTCCCTTTTGTTCCGTTCCATTCCGTTCCAATCAACTGCACTGCACTCCATTCCACTCCACTCCAGTCCACTCCGCTCGACTTCACTCTGTTCCATTCCATTCCATTCCACTCCATTCCACACAACTGCACTCCACTCAAATCCTCTTCACTCTGTTCCATTTCATCCCATTCCATTCCACTCCATTTGATTCCATTCCATTCCATTCCATTCCTTTCCATTCTGTTCCATTCCATTCCACTCCATTTCATTCCACTCCATTCCATTCCATTCCACTCTATTCCATTCCATTCTGTTCCACTGCATTCAACTCCACTCCATTCCACTCCACTCAATTCGCTTCCTCCCCTCTACTCCAATCCATTCATATAAACTGCATTCCATGCCATTCCCCTCGATTCCACTCCATTGCAATCCACTTCATTACACTCCCTCCATTCCACTCCACTGCACTCCATTTTATTCCACTATACTTCATTCCATTCAATTCTACTACAAATCATTCCATTCCTTTATTTCGACTGGATCTCACTTTATCGCTTGGACTGGAATGCAGAGGGACATTCTTAGTCGACATTTCATTTCCCTATTCCATTCCATTCCATTCCATTCCATTCCATTCTGTTGCATTCCATTCCATTCCACTCCATTCCACACAACCCCACTCCACTCAAATCCTCTTCACTCTATTCCATTTTATCCCATTCCATTCCACTCCATTCGATTCCATTCCATTCCGTTTCATTCCTTTCCATTCTGTTCCATTCCATTCCACTCCATTTCATTCCACTCCATTCCATTCCATTCCATTCCACTCTATTCCATTCCATTCCATTCCACTCTGTTCCACTGCATTCCACTCCACTCCATTCCACTCCACTAAATTCGCTTCCTCCCCTCTATTCCAATCCATTCATTTACACTGCATTCCATGCCATTCCCGTCCATTCCACTCCATTCCAATCCACTTCATTACACTCCTTCCATTCCACTCCACTGCACTCCATTTTATTCCACTATACTCCATTCCATTCAATTCTACTACAAATCATTCCATTCCTTTATTTCGACTGGATCTCACTTTATCACTTGGACTGGAATGCAGAGGCACATTCTTAGCCGACATTTCATTTCACTAGTCCATTCCATTCCATTCCATTCCATTCCATTCCATTCCATTCCGTTGCATTCCATTCCATTCCAATGCATTCCATTCCATTCCCTTCCATCAATTCCGTTCCCTTCCATTCCATTCCACTGCACTCTGATCATCTCCACTCAACTCCATTCCACTCCACTCCACTCCACTTTGTTCTGTTCAGATCCATTCCATTCCATTTCATTCCATTCCAGGCCATTCCTCTCCATTCAACTCCACTCCATTGCATTCCATTCCACGCCACTCCACTCCCTTCCCCTCCACTCCATTCCACTCCATTCCATTCCAATTCACTCCTCTTCATTTTATTCCAATGCACTCGACTCCATTCCACTCCAGTCCACTCCACTCCATTCCATTCCATTCCATTCCGTTCCATACCACTGAACTCCAATCCACTCCACTCAAATCCACTCCACTCCACTCCTCTCCACTCCATTGTATTCCGTTCCGTTTCGTTCCATTCTTTTCCATTTCACTCCACTTCATTGCACTCCATTCCATTCCATTCCACTCCATTTCATTAAATTCCTTTCAAATCGATTCCACTCCATTCCACTGAATTCCATTCCTCTCTATTCCACTTCATTCCATTCCACTCGATTCCATTCCACTCCATTCCACCCTACACCACTCCATTCCACCTCAGTCCATTCCACTCAAGTGCACTAAACTCCCCTCCACTCCACTCCATTCCATTCAATTCTATTCCATTCTATTCCACTGCACTATGATCCACTCTAATCTACTCCTCTCCACACTACTCTACACCTTTCCATTCCTTTCCTTTCTGTTCCGATCCTTTCCATTCCATTCCACTCCATTCTATTACACGCCACTCCATTCCACTTCATTCCATTTCACTCCATTCCACTTCAATCCATTCCAATCCACTCCACTACCATCCACTCCACTCCACTCCATTCTATTACACTCCATTCATTTCCATTCCACTCAATTCCATTCCATTCCGTTCCACTCCATTCCACTCCACTCCATTCCACTCCACTGCATTCCACTGTATTCCACTCCACTCCCCTCCACTCAATTCCTTTGAATTAAACTCCATTCCATTGCATTCCATTACACTTCATTCAACTTCATTCCACGCCACTCCATGCCACTACACTCCTTTCCAATCCTCTCCATTCCGTTGAACTCCACTCCATTCCAGTGCACTCCATTCCATTCCATTCCATTCCATTCAACTCCATTCCATTCCATTCCATTCCATTCCATTCCATTCCATTCCATTCCATTATTTTGCCTGGATCTCACTCTGTCACCCAGAATGGAGTACAGTGGCACAATCATAGCTCACGTTTCTTTTCACCGTTCGATTCCAATTTTTGCATTCCAATCCATTCCATTCCATACCATTGCATTGCATTCCACTCCATTCGACTCCATTCCATTCCAATGCTCTCGGATCCCCTCAACTCAAACCCACCCCACTGCACTCCACTCCACAACGTTTGATCCATTCAATTCCATTCTGTTCCATTCCCTTCCATTGCATTCCACTCCATTCTATTGCAATCCAATCCATTCCATTCCACTCTATTCCACTCCACTCCACTCCATTGCACTCAACTCCACTTCACACCACTCCAGTCCACTCCATTGCATTCCTTTCCTTTCCATTCCTCTCCACTCTACTCCAATCCACTCCACCATATTCCATTCAATTCCATTCCACTGCACTCCGATCATTTCGTCTCAACTCCACTCCACTCGACTCCATTCCGTTCCATTCCATTCCATTCTGTTCTCTTCCATTCTATTCCACTCAATTCCATTCCACCCCCCTCCATTCCACTGCACTCCATTTCTGTCCATTCCTATCCACTTCAATCCACTCCACTTGTCTCAATTCCATTCCAATCCCTTCCATTCCATTCCGTTACATTCCATTCCATTCTTTCCACGCCATTCCACTCCGTTCCACTCCACTCCATTCCACTCCATTGCACTCCACTCCATTCCACTCATCTCCATTCCACTCCAATCCACTTCATTCCACTCCATTCCATTCCACTCCATTCCATTCCATTCCATTCCACTCCATTCTACTCCATTCCACTCCTTTCCACTCCATTCCACTCCTTTCCACTCCATTGTACTCCATTCCATTCCACTCCACTCCATTCCATTCCATTCCACTCCTTTCCGTTTCATTCCGTTATTTTGATTGGATATCTTTCTGTCACCCAGACTGGAGTGCAGTGGCACAGTCGTAGCTCACATTTCTTTTCACCATTCGATTCCATTCCTATGCATTCGAATCCATTCTATTCCATTCCATTCCGTTCCTTTCCATTAAATTATTTTCCATTCCTTTCCATTCCATTCCACGCCACTCCATTCCATTCCACTCCACTCCACTCCATTTCCTTCCATTCCATTCCACGCCATTCTACTCCACTCCATTCCATTCGTTTCCTTTCCTTTGCATTGCATTCCACTGCACTCTGATGCACTCCACTAAACTCCAGTCCACTCTCCTCCACTCCACTTCGCTCCATTCTATGCCATTCTGTTCCGTTTCGTTCAGTTGCATTCCATTCCAGTCCACTCAATTCCACTCCACTCCATTTCACTCCATTCCATTCCATTCCACTGCATTCCATGCCTTTCCATTCTGCTCCATTCTACTCCATTCCACTGCACTCCATTCCACTGCACTCCATGCCACTCCACTCCACTCCATTCCACTTCATTCCATAGCACTCCACTCCATTCCATTCCATTCTACTACATTCCATTCCATTCCTTTATTTTGATGGGATCTCACTCTGACAACGAGAACGGAATGCAGTGGCCCAATCTTAGCTCACATTTCATTAACCATTCCACTCCTCTTCACTCCATTCCATTCTACTCCATTCCATTTCATTCCTTTATTTGGACGGAATCTCACTCTCTCACACAGACTGCAGTGTCGTGTCCCAATCTTAGCTCACATTTCATTAACCATAGCATTTCTTTCCATTCCATTCCATTCCATTCCATTCCATTCCATTCCATTCCATTCCATTTCATTCCATTCCACTGCACTCCGATCCACTCTTCTGAACTCCACTATACTCCACTCTGCTCTAGATATTTCCATTCCGTTCCATTCCGTTGCGTTGCAGTCCATTCCACTCTACTTCATTACATTCCACTTCATTACACTCCATTCCTCTCCACTTCACTCCATTCCCCTCCTTTCCACTACATTCCGTTACATTCCATTCCATTCCACTCTATTACACTCCACTCTACTCCACTATTCTATACTCCATCCCATTCCATCCCATTCAATTCCAATCCACTCCACTCCAGTATACTCAACTGCGTTCCCTCCCATCCCATTCCACGCCATTCGACTGAAATGCACAGCACTCCACTCCACACAACTCCACTCAATTCCATTCCATTTCATTCCATTCCATTCTATTCCACTCCACTCCATTCCATTCCACTCCACTCCATTCCATTCCATTCCTTTCCATTCCATTCCATTACTTTCTGTCCAGAAAATCTCACTCTCACACTGGCTGTAGTGCAGTGTTGCACTTTCAGCTCACATTTCATTTCAGCATTTCTTTCCACTCCTTTCCACTCCACTCCACTCCACTCCATTCCATCCCATTGCATTCCACTCCATTCCACTCCACTTCACTGCAGTCCACTCCACTCCATTCCATTCCACTCCCTACCATTCCATTCCCCTCCAATGCACTCCACTCCAGTCAACTCATCTCCACTTCATTACAATCCATTCCACTCTATTACATTCCATTCCTTTTTTTCAAAAGTATCTCACTCTGTCCCTCAGGCTGGAGTGCAGTGGCACAATTTCAACTCACATTTCATTTCACTATTCCATTGCATTTCCTTTCATTGCCTTCCATTTAATTGCAATCCACTCCACGCCATTCCATTCCATTCCACTCCACTCCATTTCATTCCATTCCACTCCATTCCACTAAACTCTACTCCACTTCATTCCATTCCATGCCGTCCCATTTCACTCCATTCCACTCCTCTCCACTCTGCTCCACTAAACTCCACTGTACTCCTCTCCAATCCATTCCTTTCCATTTCCTTCCATTCCATTTTATTACATTCCATCTGTTCCTTTCAACAGCATCTCACACTCAACCAGGCTGGAGTGTAATGACACAATCTCTGCTCACATTTCATTTTACCATTGCATTCCATTCCATTCCTTTCCATTCCATTCCATTCTACTCTACTGCACTCCACTTCACTCCACTCCAGTCCATTCCATTCCATTTCACTCCATTCCACTCCATTTAATTCCATTACATTACATTCCACTCCATTCCATTCCTTTCTTTCGAGAGGATCTCACTCTGTCACAAAGACTGCACTGCAGTGACCAATATCAGCTCGTATTTCGTTTCACCATTCCACTCCATTCCATTCCATTCCATTCCATTCCATTCCATTCCATTCCATTCCATTCCACTCCAATCCACTCCAATCTACTCCATTCCATTCCATCCAATTCCATGCCACTCCACTCCATTCCACTCCACTCCACTCCACTCCAGTCCACTCCATTCCACTCCATCCCATTCCATTCCAATCCATTCCACTCCAGTCAACTCCACTCTGCTCCATTCTATCCCATTCCATTCCATTCCATTCCACTCACTTCCATTCCATTCCACACCTTCCATTTGATTCCTTTCTTTTGAAAGGATCTCTTTCTCTCACCCAGGCTGGAGTGTAGTGGCACAATCTGAGCTCAGATTACATTTCACCATGCTATTCCATTGCATTCCATTGCACTCCATTCCATGGTATTCCGTTCCATTGCATTCCGTTGCATTCCATTACATTCTATACCATTCCATTGTATTCCATTGCATTTCATTCCATTCCATTTCATTCCATTCCTTTCCACTCTTTTCCATTCCATTCCATTCCATTCAACTCCACTCCATTACACTCCTCTCCACTCCACTCCAATCCATTCCATTCCACTCCCTTACATTCCATTCCTTTCTTTCGACAGAATCTCACTCCCTCACCCATGCTGGAGTGCAGTGGCACAATCTCATCTCACATTTCATTTCACAGTTCTATTCCATTACATTCCGTTGCATTCCATTAATTGTATTGCATTCCATTCCATTTCATTCAATTCCATTCCACTACATTCCATTCAACTCCAATACATTCCACTCCATTCCATTCCATTCCATTCCATTCCATTCCATTCCATTCCTTCCTATTCCTTTCCACTCTTGTCCACTCCGCTGCACTCCACTTGACTCCGCTGCACTCCACTACTCTCCACTCCATTCCAATCCCCTCCATCCCATTGTATTCCACTTCATTCCCCTCCACTCCACTCTACTCCACTTCTGTCCACTTGACTTCACTCCACTCCATTCCATTACACTCCATTGAATTCCATTCCTTTCTTTCACCAGGATCTCATTCTCTCACCCTGCTTGCAGTGCAGTGGAACAATCTCAGATCGCATTTCATTTCACCTTTCCATTCTATTCCATTCCATTCCACTTCATTCCATTCCATTCCACTCTGCTCCATTCCACTCCACTCCACTGCACTCCGTTCATTTCCATTCCAATCCGCTCCACTCCATTCCATTCCGTTCCTTTCTTTCG
Organism: Homo sapiens; assembly: GCF_000001405.40. Lineage (NCBI taxonomy): Eukaryota > Metazoa > Chordata > Mammalia > Primates > Hominidae > Homo > Homo sapiens. Next base: position 10,690,227 of record NC_000024.10, read on the forward strand.
ACAGGATCTCACTCTCTCACACAGGTTAAAGTGCAGTGGCAAAACTTAAGTTCATATTTCATTTCACCATTCCATTCCATTCCACTCCACTCCACTCAATTCCCTTCCATTCCACTCCATTCCACTTCACTCCAGTCCACTCCATTCAGTTACATTCCATTTCATCCCACTCCTATCCATTCCATTCCTTTCTTTCGACAGGATCTCATTCTGTCACCCAGCCTATAGAGCAGTGGCACAATATCAGCTCACATTTAATTTCATCATTCCCTTACATTGCATTCCATTCAATTCCATACTATTCCATACCATTCCATTCCAATCTGCTGCATTTCATTCCATTCCATTCCACTTCACTCTACTCCACTACTCTACACTCCATCCCATTCCATCCCATTCAATTCCACTCCACTCCACTCTATTGCATTCCCTCTCATCCCATTCCAAGCCATTCCACTCAAATCCACACTACTCCACTCCACTCTACTCCACTCCATTCCATTCCATTCCATTCCATTGCATTCCATTCCATTCCATTCCATTACTTTCTGTCGAGAAAATCTCACTCTGTCACACTGGCTGTAGTGCAGTGTTGCACTTTCAGCTCACATTTCATTTCACCTTTCCTTTCTATTCCATTCCACTCCACTCCACTCCACTCCACTCCATTCTATGCCATTGCATTCCACTGCATTCCACTCCACTTCACTGCACTCCACTCTACTCCATTCCATTTCACTCCCTACCATTCCATTCCCCTCCACTCCACTCCACTCCAGTCAACTCCTCTCCACTCCCTTCCATTCCATTCCATTCCATTCCATTCCATTCCATTCCATTCCATTCCACTCAACTGCACTGAATTCCACTCCACTCCACTCCCTTCCATTCCATTCCATTCCATTCCATTCATTCCATTCCACAACATTCCAGTCCATTCCATTCCATTCCACTCCATTCCATTCCATTCCATTCCACTCCATCCCATTCCATTCAACTCTTTTCCACACGACTCCACTCCACTCCAATCCATTCCACAACACTCCACTCCAATCCACTCCATTCCATTCCTTTCCATTTGATCCCATTCCATCCCACTCTGTTCCACTCCACTCTACTCCATTCCATTCCATTCCATTCCATTCCATTCCATTCCATTCCATTCCATTCCATTCCACTCCATTCCATTCAATTCTTTCCTTGGACAGGATCTCACTCTGTCACACAGGCTGGATTGCAGTTGCACAATCTCAGCTTACATTTCATTTCACCATTACATTCCTTTCCACTTTATTCCACTCCACTCCACTCACGTTCACTTCACTCATTTCCATTCCTTTCCACTGC
>NC_000024.10:10691902-10694192 GCF_000001405.40 Homo sapiens
CAATCCATTCCATTCCATTACACTCCATTCCTCTCTTTGCCATTCCACTCTGTTCTTTCGACAGGATCTCACTTTATCACCAAGGCTGGAGTAACGTGGCATAATCTCAGCTCGCATTTCATTTCAACATTCCATTGCATTCCATTACAATGCATTCCACTCCATTCCATTTCATTCCATTCCATTCCACTCCACTCCACTCCACTCTGCCTCATTCCATTCCATTCCATTTCACTCCATTCCACGCCAATCTACTCCACTCCCCTCCACTCCATTGTATTCCATTCCACTCCCTTCCATGCCATTCCTTTCTTTCAACAGGATCTCACTCTGTCACCCAGGATGGAGTGCAGTGGCAAAACCTCAGCTCACATTTCGTTTCACCATTCCTTTCCATTCCATTTAATTCCATTCCATTACCCTCCACTCCATTCCAGTCCACTCCACTCTGCCCAATTACACTCCAGTCCACTCCACTCCAATCTAGTACAATCCACTCTATTCCACTCAATCCCTTTCCATTCCATGGAATTCCAATCCACTCCACTCCACTCCTCTCCATTGCATTCCATCATATTCTATTCCACTCCATTGCAGTCCACTCCACTCCACTCCTCTCCATTCCATTCCATTCCATTCCATTCCATTCCTTTCCATTCCATTTTGCTCCATTCTCTTACATTACATTCCATTTATTCCCAATACATTGCACTGCACTCCTCTCCACTCCACTCCATGTCATTCCATTCCATTACATTCCAGTCCATTCCACTCCATTCCACTACACTCCAATCCAATTTGTTCCATTACATCCCGTTTCATTTCACTCCATTCCACTCCTCTCCACTCTACTCCATTCCACTCCTCTCCACGCTATTCCACTCGATTCCATTTCATTCTTTTCCATTCCATTCAATTCCATTCCACTCCAATCCACTGCACTCCAATCCATTCCATTCCACTCCATCCCATTTAATTCCACTCCATTCCACTCCAGTCCACTCCATTCCGTGCCATTCTATCCAATTCCGTTCTATTTTGTTCCATTCCATTCAATTCTAGTCCATTACTTTGAATTCTTTTCTTTTGAAATGATTTCACTCATTCACACAGGCTGGAGTGCAGTGGGAATATATGAGCTCACACTTCATTTCACCATTCCATTGCACTCCATTCCACTCCACTCCACTCCACCCCACTCCACTCCATTAAATCCCAATCCATTCCATTCCACTCCATCCCATTTGATTCCACACCACTACACTCCACTACACTACACTCCCTGCCATTCCATCCCATTTCTCTCCATTCCATTCCATTCCATTAGATTCCATTCCACTCCATTGCATTCCATTCCTTTATTTCGACAGTATCTCACTCTGTCACACAGGCAGGAGTGCAGTGGCACAATATCAGCTCACATTTCATTTCACCGTTTCATTTCACTCCATTCCACTCCATTCCACCACACCACAGCACCCTCCACTCCACTCCACTCCATTAAATCCCAATCCATTCCATTCCACTCCATTCCATTCCATTCTTTGTTTTCTTTCGACAGGATCTCACTCTGTCACGCAGGGTGGAGTGCAGTGGCACAATCTCAGCTGACATTTCATTTCAATATTCCATCTCATTCCATTCCATTTCACTCTACTCCACTCCACTCCACTCTATTTCATTCCGTTACATTCCACTCCACTCCTTTCCATAAGTTTCCTTTCTTTTGACAGGATCTCACTCTATCAAACAGGCTGGAGTGTAGTGGCACAATTTCACCTCAAATTTCACTTCACCCTTCCGTTCCGTTGCATTCCATTCCATTCTATTCCATTCCATTCAATTCCTTTCCATTCCATTCCATTATACTCCATTCCACTCATCTCCACTCCATTGCTTTCCATTCCACTCCACTTCACTCCACTCCTTTCAACTCCACTACATTACATCCCATTCTGTCCTACTCCATTCCACTCCACTCCACTCCAATCTACTCAATTCCATTTCCTTACATCACATTCCATTCCATTCAATTCCATTCCACTCCACTCCAATCCACTCAACTGAACTTTCTATTCCATTCCATTCAATTCCATTCTATTCCACTCCACTCAATCCAATTCACTCCATTCCATTCCATTCCATTTCATTCCACTCCACTCCACACCACTCCACTCCACTCCATTCCATGCCATTCCATCCAATTCCATTCTATTCCGTTCAATTCCAATCCATTCCTGTCCATTCCATTCATTTCGTTTCTTTTTAAATGATCTCCCTCAGTCACACA
>NC_000024.10:10744192-10747280 GCF_000001405.40 Homo sapiens
ACTCTACACCACTGCACTACACTCCTATCCACTCCATTCCATTCCATTCCATTCCATTCCATTCCATTCCATTCCATTCCATTCCACTCCACTCCATTCCATTCCATTCCACTCCATTCCATTCCATTCCTTCCTTTCGACAACATCTCACTCTGTCATGCAGACTGGAGTGCAGTGGCACAATCTCAGCTCACGTTTCATTTCACCATTCCATTCCCTTACATTCCATTCCATTCCACTCAACTGCACTGCACTCCACTACATTCTATTCCATTCCATTCCATTCCATTCCATTCCATTCCATTCCATTCCATTCCATTCCATTCCATTCCACTGCATCCCATTCCATTCCACTCTATTCCAAACCACTCCACTCCACTCCAATTCATTCCACACCACTCCACTCCACTCCATTGCATTCCATTCCAACCAATTCCATTCCACTCCGTTACATTCCACTCCAGTCCACTCGATTCAATTCCATCCCATAGCATTTCTCTCCATTCCTTTCCATTCTTTCTTTCAACAAGATCTTACTCTGTCACAGGCTGGAGTGCAGTGGCCCAATCTTAGCTCACATTTTATTTCACCATTCCATTCCATTCGATTCCACTCAATTCCACTACACTCTACTCAAGTCCACTCCACTCCATTCCATTCCATTCCACTGCCCTCCACTCCACTCCTCTCTTCTCCGTTCCATCCGATTCCATTCCCCTCCTTTCCAACACACTTCACTCCACTTCTCTCCATTCCGTGCCTTTCCATTCCATCACGTTCCACTCCACTCCACTCCACTCCACTCCACTCCACTCCATTCCAATACACACCATTACATTACATTCCTTTCTTTCGACAGGATCTCACTCTGTCAAACAGGCTGGAATACAGTGGCACAATCTCAGCTCACATTTTATTTAACCATTGCATTCCATTCCATTCCCATTTGTTCCGTTCCATTCCGTTCCACTGAACTACACTGCACTCCATTCCACTCCACTCCAGTCCATTCCGCTCGACTTCACTCCGTTCCATTCCATTCCATTCCACTCCATTTCACACAACTCCACTCCAGTAAAATCCTCTTCACTCTGTTACATTTTATCCCATTCCATTCCACTCCATTCGATTCCATTCCATTCCGTTCCATTCCTTTCCATTCTGTTCCATTCCATTCCACTCCATTTCATTCCACTCCATTCCACTCTATTCCTTTCCTTTCCATTCCACTCTGTTCCACTGCATTCCACTCCACTCCATTCCACTCCACTCAATTCGCTTCCTCCCCTCTATTCCAATCCATTCATTTACTCTGCATTACATGCCATTCCACTCCATTCCAGTCCACTTCATTACACTCCCTCCATTCCACTCCACTGCACTCCATTTTATTCCACTATACTCCATTCCATTCAATTCTAATACAAATCATTCCATTCCTTTATTTCGACTGGATCTCACTTTATCACTTGGACTGGAATGTAGAGGCACATTCTTAGTCGACATTTCATTTCACTATTCCATTCCATTCCATTTCATTCCGTTGCATTCCATTCCATTCCAATGCATTCCATTCCATTCCCTTCCATCAATTCCGTTCCCTTCCATTCCATTCCACCGCACTCTGATCATCTCCACTCAACTCCATTCCACTCCACTCCACTCCACTTTGTTCTGTTCAGATCCATTCCATTCCATTTCATTCCATTCCAGGCCATTCCTCTCCATTCAACTCCACTCCATTGCATTCCATTCCACGCCACTCCACTCCCTTCCCCTCCACTCCATTCCATTCCAATTCACTCCTCTTCATTTTATTCCAATGCACTCGATTCCATTCCACTCCAGTCCACTCCACTCCATTCCATTTCGTTCCATACCACTGAACTCCAATCCACTCCACTCAAATCCACTCCACTCCACTCCTCTCCACTCCATTGTATTCCGCTCCGTTTCGTTCCATTCTTTTCCATTTCAGTCCACTTCATTTCACTCCATTCCATTCCATTCCACTCCATTTCATTAAATTCCTTTCAAATCGATTCCACTCCATTCCACTGAATTCCATTCCTCTCTATTCCACTTCATTCCATTCCACTCGATTCCATTCCACTCCATTCCACCCTACACCACTCCATTCCACCTCAGTCCATTCCACTCAAGTGCACTAAACTCCCCTCCACTCCACTCCATTCCATTCAATTCTATTCCATTCTATTCCACTGCACTATGATCCACTCCACTGTACTCCTCTCCACACTTCTCTACACCTTTCTGTTCCTTTCCTTTCTGTTCTGATCCTTTCCATTCCATTCCACTCCATTCTATTACACTCCACTCCACTCCACTTCATTCCATTTCACTCCATTCCACTCCATTCCACTTCAATCCATTCCAATCCAATCCACTACCATCCACTCCACTCCACTCCATTCTATTACACTCCATTCATTTCCTTTCCACTCAATTCCATTCCATTCCATTCCATTACACTCCACTCCATTCCACTCCACTGCATTCCACTGTATTCCACTCCACTCTCCTCCACTCAATTCCATTCAATTAAACTCCATTCCATTGTATTCCATTACACTTCATTCAACTTTATTCCACGCCACTCCAGGCCACTACACTCCTTTCCAATCCTCTCCATTCCGTTGCACTCCATTCCATTCCAGTCCACTCCATTCCATTCCATTCCATTCCATTCCATTCAACTCCATTCCATTCCGTTCCATTCCATTCTGTTCCATTCCATTCCATTCCATTCCATTCAACTCCATTCCATTCCATTCCATTCCATTCCGTTCCATTCCATTCCATTCCATTCCATTCCATTCCATTCCATTCCATTCCATTATTTTGACTGGATCTCACTCTGTCACCCAGAATGGAGTACAGTGGCACAATCTTAGCTCACGTTTCTTTTCACCGTTCGATTCCATTTTTTTGCATTCCAATCCATTCCATTCCATACCATTGCATTGCATTCCACTCCATTCCACTCCATTCCATTCCAATGCTCTCGGATCCCCTCAACTCAAACCCACCCCACTGCACTCCACTCCACGACGTTTGATCCATTCAA
>NC_000024.10:10747305-10809671 GCF_000001405.40 Homo sapiens
CAACTTCATTCCATGGCACTCCACTCCATTCCATTCCATTCTACTACATTCCATTCCATTCCTTTATTTCTATGGGATCTCACTCTGACAACGAGAACGGAATGCAGTGGCCCAATCTTAGCTCACATTTCATTAACCATTCCACTCCACTCCATTCCATTCCATTCTACTCCATTCCATTTCATTCCTTTATTTGGACGGAATCTCACTCTCTCACACAGACTGGAGTGTCGTGTCCCAATCTTAGCTCACATTTCATTAACCATAGCATTTCTTTCCATTCCATTCCATTTCATTCCATTCCACTGCACTCCGATCCACTCTTCTGAACTCCACTACACTCCACTCTGCTCTAGAGATTTCCATTCCGTTCCATTCCGTTCCGTTGCAGTTCACTCCACTCTACTTCATTACATTCCACTTCATTACACTCCATTCCTCTCCACTTCACTCCATTCCCCTCCTTTCCACTCCATTCCGTTCCATTCCATTCCATTCCTTTCCATTCCATTACACTCCATTCCATTCCATTCCAATGCACTCCATTCCATTCCATTCTACTCCGTTCCAATCCATCCCTTTACTTCGACGTGATATAAAGTGGCCAAATCGTAACTAACATTTCATTAATCATTCCATTCCATTCCATTGCATTCATTCAATTGCATTCCATTCCATTCCGTTCCATTCCTTTCCATGCCATTCCATTCCATTCCATTCCATTCCATTCCATTCCATTCCATTCCATTCCATTCCATTCCATTGCATTCTCTTCCATTCCTCTGCACTCCAGTCAACTCCATTCAACTCCAATTCTCTCCTCTCCCCTTTGTTCTTTTCCGTTCCATTTTATTCCGGTCCCTTCCATTCCTTTATTTCTACTGGATCTCACACTGTCACCCAGAATGGAGTGCTGTGGCACAATCTAGCTCACATTTCATTTCACCATTCCATTCCATTCCATTCCATTCCATTCCATTCCATTCCACTCCATTCCATTCCTGTCCATTCCACTCCATCACATTCCACTCCACTCCACTCCACTCCAGTCTATTCCATTCCATTCCATTACACTGCAGTCTGATCAACTCCACTCAAATCCTCTCCATGGCAAGCCACTCCACTCCGTTCCATTCCATTCCCTTCCAATCCACTCCTTCCATTCCGCTCAACTCCATTCCATTCCATTCCTTTATTTAGAATGGAACTCACTTTGTCACTCAGAATGGATTGCAGTGTTCTTATCTTAGCTCACATTTCAATCACCATTCGATACAATTCCATTCCATTGCATAACATACCATTGAATTCCATTCCATTTCACTGCATTATGAGACAATCCACTTAACTCCACTCCACTCCATTCCACTCTGTTCCATTCCATTCCATTCCGCTCCATTTCTTTCCGTTCTTTTCCATTCCATTCCATTCCACTTCGCTCCATTCCACTCCACTCCACTCCACTGCATTCAATTCCATTTAATTCAACTGCCCTGCGATCCACTCTACTCAATTTCACTCCATTCGACTCCAATCCTCCCAAATCCACTCCATTCCCCTTCACTTCACTAAAATCTAGTTCATTCTACTCCACTCCACTCCATTCCATTCCATTCCATTCTATTCCACTACCCTCCATTCCTCTCCACTGCACTCCACTCCACTCAGTTCAATTCCATTCCACTCCATTCTATTCCTCTCCACTCCACTGCACTCCACTCCATTCAGTTCAATTCCATTCCACTCCACTCCATTCTATTTCATTCCACTCCATTCCATTCCACTCCACTCCACTGCACTCCTCTCCACTCAATTCAGTTTCAGTCCACTCCACTCCATTCCATTTCATTCCACTCAACTCCATTCCATTCCACTCCATTCCACTCCTCTCCACTGCACTCCGCTCCACTCAATTCAATTTCATTCCACTCCAGTCCACTCCATTCCATTCCACTGCACTCCGATCCACTCCACTCTACTCAAGTCCACTGTACTCCACTCTACTCTGTTCTGCTCCATTCTCTATCATTCCTTTCCATTGCATTCCATTCCACTCCACTCCACCCCACTCATCTCCGTTCCAATCCATTCCGTTCCATTCTACTCCATTCCATTCCGCACCATTCTACTGAATTCCATTCCTCTCTATTCCACTCCATTCCACTCCCATCCATTCTACTCCACTCCATTCCACTCCACTCCACTCAATTGCATTCCATTCCTTTCCATTCTATTCCACTGTTCTCTGATTTTCTCCACTCAGTTTCACTCCACGCCACTCCACTCCGTTCTGCTCCATGCCTTTCTATTCTGTTCCATTCCCTTCCATTCCATTTCAGTGCATTCCATTCCACTTCACTCCGTTCCATTCCAGTCAATTACACTCCACTCCACTACGTTACATTCCAATACACGCCATTCCATTCCATTCCACTGCACTGTGATCCACTCCACTCAACTCCACTGAACTCCACTCCGTTCCATTCCATTCCTTTCAATTCCAATCTGTTTTATATGTTGAATTCCACTGCATTCCATTCCTTTCCACCTCATTCCACTCTACTCAACACGATTCCACTCCTCTTCCCTCCAATCCATTCCATTCCAATCCAATCCATTCCATTCCACTCCTTTCCATTCCAATCCATTCCACTCCATTCCAATCTAGTCGATTCCGCTTCACTCCATTCCACCCCAATGCACTCGATTCCATTCCATTCCAATCCATTCCATTCCATTCCATTCCATTCCACTCTATTCCACTCCACTCCACTCCATTACCCTCCACCCCTTTCCAGTCCACTCCAATGCATTACAATCCATTCCGTTCCACTCCACTCCATTCCATTCGATTCTACTGCATTCCATTCAATTGCTTTATTTCGAATCTATCTCACTCTGTCAAAAATCCTGGAGTGCAGTGGCACAATCTTAGCTCAGATTTCATTTCCCCATTCCATTCCATGCCATTCCATTCAATTCCATTGCAGTCCATTCCATTCCATTTCATTCATTTCCATTCCATTCAATTCCATTCCATTGCATTCCACAGAACTCCACTCCACTCCACCCCACAACACTCCATTAAACTCCATTTCACACCACTCCATTCCATTTCATTCCATTCCATTCCATTCTATTCCACTACATTCCATTCCATTCTACACCAATCAACTCCACTGCATTACTCTCCACTCCATTCCTCTCCACTCTACTCCTTTTCATGCCATTCCATTCCATTCCACTCCATTCCATGACATTCCATTCCACTCCACTAGGTTCCACTCGACTCCATTCAACTCAATTACACTCCATTCCTCTGTATTCCATTCCACTACACTCCATTCCATTCCATTCTACTCCATTCCATTTCATTCCTTTATTTCGACTGAATCTCACTGTGTCACGCAAACTGGAGTGCTGTGGCCCAATCTTAGCTCACATTTCATTGATGATTATAAAACATTTCATTTCATTCCATTCCATTCCATTCCATTCCATTCCATTCCATTCCATTCCATTCCACTGCACTCTGATCCACTCTACTTGAATCCACTCCACTCCACTCTATTCCTTTCCATTCCAATCCGTTCAATTCCGTTCCATTCCACTCCACCCAGCTCTGTTCCATTCCACTTAATTCCACTCCACTCCTCTCCACTTCACTTAATTCCCATCCATTCCACTCCATTCCATTCTAATCTATTCCATTCCATTCCATTCCATTCCATTCCATTCCATTCCATTCCGCTCCATTCCATTCCATTCCATTCCTTTCTTTTCCACTCCACTCCATTCCACTCCACTCCTCTCCACTCCACTATCCTCCATTTCATTCCATTCCACTCCACTCCACTCCACTCCATTCCATTCCTTTCCATTCCATTCCACTGAACTCCCATCCACTCCGCTCAACTCCACTCCCCTCCACGCCACTCCAATTATTTCCTTTCCATTCCTTTCACTCCACTCTATTACATTCCATTCTATTGCTTTCCATTCTATTCCTTTATTGCGACAGTATCTCACTCTGTCACTCAGAATGAAGTATAGTGGCCCTATCTCACCTCACATTTCATTCACAATTCAATTCCATTCCATACAATTCCATTGCATTCCATTCCATTCCATTCCATTCTTTGCCATTTCACTCCACTCCACTCCATTGCACTCCACTCAATTCCATTCCATTCGACTCCACTCCACTATATTCCATTCCATTCCATTCCATTCCATTTCCTTACAATCCATTCCATTAGACTGCACTCAGATCCAACCCATTCCACTTCACTCCGATCCTTTCTGTTTCACATTATTCCTTTCCATTCTATTCCATTCCATTCCACTCCATTTCACTCCACTCCAGTCCAATCCACTCCATTCCATTCCATTCCATTTCATTCCACTGCATTCTGATCCACTCCACTGAACTCCACTTCACTCTACTCCACTCCACTCCATTTCATTCTGTTCCATTCGAATCCATTCCTTTCCATTCCATTTCATTCCATTCCGCTCCACTCCATTCCACTCCACTGAATTCCAATCCATTCTCTTCCTTTCCACTCCATTCCATTTCCTTCCATTCCGCTCCATTCCACTCCATTCCTCTCCAGTCCATTCCACTCCTCTCCACTCCACCTAACTGCACTCCATTCCAATCTTTTCCATTCCACACCACTCCATTCCATTCGATTTTACTCCATTCCATTCCATTCTTTATTTCGGCTGGAACTCACTCTCTCACCCAGACTGGAGTCTAGTCCCACATTGTTATCTCACATTTCATTTCACCTTTCCATTGTATTGCATTGCATTCCATTCCATTCCATTGATTCCATTCCATTCAACTCAACTCCACTCCAAAGCACTCAACTCCACTCCACTTCACTCCACTCCACTCCATTCTGGTGCGTTCCGTTCCATTACGTTCCATTCCATTCAATTCCGTTCCATTGTATTCCATTCCACTCCATTCCATTCTATTCCATTCCATGCCATTCCATTCAATTGCACTCCGATCCACTCCACTCAACTCCATTCCTCTCCATTCCACTCCATTCTGTTCTATTCCATTCCATTCCATTGCTTTCCATTCCATTCCATTCCATTCCACTTTATCCCATTCCACTCCATTCCACTGCACTCCACTCCAATCCACTCCACTCCACACCATTCCATTCTATTCCACTCCACCCCATTCCACTCCACTCAACTCAACTCCACTCCATTCCACTCCACTCCGTTCCATTGTATTCCGTTCCGTTCCATTCTCTTCCATTCCACTCCATTCCATCTCTCCACTCAATTCCACTCCACTCCAATTCACTCTGTGCAATTAAATTTCACTCCAGTCCACTTCCCTGGACCACGCTCCATTCCACACCACTCCATTATGTTCCATTCCTTTCCATTCCATTCCATTCCATTCCACTCCATTGCATTCCACTCCACTCCATGACACTCCACTGCATTTCACCCAATCCCTCCATTCCACTCCACTCATCTCCATTCCATTCAACTTCACTCCTTTCCATTTTGTTCCATTCCATTGTGTTCCATTCCATTCCACTCCATTTCATTCCACTCTACTCCATGTCACTCCACTCCATTTCACCCATTCCCTCCATTGCACTCCACTCATTTCCATTCCATTCCACTTCACTCCTTTCCATTCTTTTCCATTCCATTCTATTCCATTCCACTCCCCCCCATTCCACTCCACGCCACTCCATTCCAATCCATTCCATTCCACTCCACAACTTTCCATTGTATTTTAATTTATTCCATTCCATTCCTTTATTTCGACTGGAATTCACAATCTCACCCAGACTGGAGTGTAGTGGAACATTCATAGCTCACATTTCATTTCACCCTTCCATTCTATTCCATTCCATTCCATTCCATTCCATTCCATTCCATTCCATTCCATTCCATTCCACTCCATTCCATTCCATTCCATTCCACTCCATTCCATTCTATTGCTCTCACGTCCACTCCACTCTACTCAAGTCCACTTCACTTCACTCCACTCACCTCCATTCCAGTGAGCTCCATGCCTTTCCGTCCCATTCTATTCCATTCCATTCTATTCCAAACCATATAATTGCATTCCATTCTGTTGCATTCCATTCCATTCCATTCCATTCACTCCTTTCCATTCCACGCCATTCCACTCTATTCCACTCTGCTCCAATTTACTCCACTCCATTTCATTCCACTCCATTCCACTCCAATCCACTCCATTCCATTCCATTCCATTCCATCCCATTCCATTCCATTCCAGTGCACTCCGATCCACTTCACTCAAATCCATTCCACTCCACTCCACTCTGTTTCATTCTGTTCCATTCCATTCCTTTCCATTCCGTACCATTAAACTCCATTCCATTTCACTCCACTCCATTTGAACCCATTCTCTTCCATTCCACTCCAATCAGTTTCATTCAATTCCACTCCATTCCTCTACAGTCTATTCTACTCCACTCCATTCCACCCTAATACACTCCATTCCAATCTCTTCACTTCCACTCCACTCCATTCCATTCGATTTTTCTCCATTCCATTTAATTCTTTATTTCGACTGGAACTCACTTTCTTATCCAGACTGGAGTACAGTGGCACATTGTTAGCTCACATTACACTTCACCTTTCCATTCCATTCCTTTCCATTCCATTCCATTCAATTCCATTGTGTTCCATTCCATTCCATTCCATTGCATTCCACTCAACTCCACTCCGCTGCACTCAGCTCCACTCCACTCCACTCCACTCCATTCTGGTTCCTTCCATTCCGTTCCTTTCCTTTCCATTCCATTCGGTTCCATTGCATTCCATTCTACTCTATTCAATTCCATGCCGTTCCATTCCACTGCACTCCGATCCACTCTGCTCAACTCAACTCCACTCAATTCCACTCCATTCCAATCCATTCCATTTCATTCCATTGCATTCCATTCCTTTCCATTCCACTCTACTCTATTCCATTCCACTCCATTACACTCCATCCCACTTCACTCCACTCCAATCAACTCCATCCCACTCCATTCTATTCCTTTCTATTCCACTGTACTCCAATCCACTCGACTCAATGCAAATTCGCTCCATTCCACTCTACTCCTTTCCATTTCATTCCGTTCCATTCTGTTCTCTTCCATTCAATTCCATTCCATTCATCTCCACTCAATTCCTCTCCACTCCAACTCACTACATGCCATTAAATTCCACTCCACTCCACTTCCCTCAACTCCACTCCATTCCACTCCACTACTTTAGGTTCCATTCCTTTCCTTTCCATTCCATTTGATTCCACTCCATTGCATTCTACCTGACTCCATTCCACTCCACTCCATTTCAATACATTCCACTCCACTCATCTCCATTCCCTTCCACTCCACTCCTTCCCATTCCACTCCATTCCATTCCATTCCATTCCACTGCACTCCATTCCATTCCACTCCATTCCATTCCATTCTATTTTACTCCATTCCATTCCATTCCTTTATTTCGATTGGAACTCACTGTCTCACCCAGACTGGAGTGCAGTGGTACATTCTTAGTTCACATTTCATTTCACCCTTCCAATCCATTCCATTCCATTCCATTCCACGCCACTCCACTCCACTCCTCTCCATTCCATTCCATTCCATTCCATTCCATTCCATTCCATTCCATTCCATTCCATTCCATTCCATTCTATTCAATTTCGTTCCATTCCGTTCCGTTCCATTCCGTTCCATTCCATTACATTCCATTCCATTGCACTCAACTCCACTTCACTCCACTCAACTCAACTCCAATTCACTCCACTCCATTCCATTCTGGTGTGCTCCATTCCATTCCGTTCCACTCCATTCTATTCCGTTCTATTCTATTCAAATCTGTTCAATTGCATTCCATTCTTTTACATCACATTCCATTCCAATCCACTCCATTCCATTCCACTCCCTTCCAATCCAATCCACTCCACTCGATTCCACTCCACTCCATTTCACTGCACTCCACTCCAATCCAATCCATTCCATTCCACTCCATTCCATTCCACTGCACTCCAATCCACTCCACTCAACTCCACTCCACTCCACTCATCTCTGTTTCATTCCGTTCCATTCCATTCCATTCCATTCCATTCCATTCCATTCCATTACTGTCCATTCCATTCCACTCCACTCCCTTCCACTCCACTATTTCTGATGCCATTCACCTCCATTCCCCTCCACTCCAGTCCACTCCACTCAAATCAACTCCATTCCATTCCATTCCACTACATTCCATTCCATTCCACTACATTCCACTTTATTCCAATCCACTCCATACCACTCCACTCCATTCATCTCCACTCCACTCCATTCCTCTCCACTCCACTCCATTACACTCCATTCCATTCCACTGCACACTATTCCATTCCATTCTACTCCACTCCATTCCATTCCTTTATTTCAACAGATCTCACTCTGTCACTTTTAATGAAGTGCAGTAGCACAATCTTAGCTCACATTTCATTTCACCATTCTATTCCATTTAATTCCATTGAACTCCATTCCATTCCATTCCACTCTAATACACTCAGCTAAACTCCACTGCATTCCATTCCATTCCATTGTGTTCCATTCCACTGGACTCTGATCCACTCCACTCAACTCCAGTACACTCCACCCCACTTCACTCTATTCCATTTTGTCTTTTCCGATAGTTTCCGTTCCTTTCCTCTCAGTTCCATTCCAGTCCACTGCATTCCACTCCACTCCACTGCACTCCATTCCACTCCAATCCACTCCATTCCATTCTACTCCATTGCATTCAACTCCATTCCATTCCATTCCACTCCATTCCACTCCTCTCCATCTCCCTCATCTCCATTCCACTGCACTCTGCTCCACTCCATTCCATTCCATTCCATTCCACTCCATTCCATTCCAGTCCACTCCACTCCACTCTCCTCAACTACATTCCACTCCACTCCATTCCCATCCACTACATTCCACTGCATTCCATTCCATTCCACTCCACTCCATTCCATTCCTTTCTACTTGATTCCATTCCATTACTTTATTTCGACTGGATCTCACTCTGTCACCCAAACTGGAGTGCTGTGGTACAATCTCAGCTAACATTTCCTTTCACATTTCCATTCTATTTCATTCCATTCAATTGCATTACATTCCATTCAATTGCATTCCATTCCATTCGACTCCACTGCATTCCCCTCCACTCTACTCCACTCCTCTGAATTCCATTCCACTCCACTCCATTCCACTCCATTCCATTCCATTCTACTACATTCCATTCCATTACATTCCACTGCATTCCACTCCGTTCCACTCCACTCCTCTCCACTGTACTCCACTCCATTCCATTCCACTCCACTCCATTCCATTCCAATCTATTCCCTTCCAATCCATTCCACTCCACTCCACTCCATTCCCTGCCATCCCCCCTCAATCGTACACCACGCCTCTCTACTCCATCCTCACCCATTCCACCCCACCACACCCCACACCATTCCACTCCACTCCGCTCATCTCCACTCCACTCCACTGCATTCCATTCCATTCCACTCCACTCCACTCCAATCCATTCCATTCCATTCCTGTGCACTCTAATAAAATCCACTGAACTCCATTTCACTCCAGTCCATATCACTTTGTTCCATTCCATTCCATTCCATTCCATTCCACTCCACCCGACTCGACTCCACTCAAATCCACTCCAATCCAATCCACTCCACTCTACTCCATTCCATTCCATTCCACTGCATTCCATTGCACACCATTCCATTTCACACGACTCCAGTCCATTCCACTTCAATCCATTCCTTTCCATTCCACCTCACTCCACTCCATTCCTATCCATTCCATTCCATTCCTTCCATTCCATTCCATTCCATTGCACTCCACTCCATTCCATTCCACTCTATTCCATTCAAATCCTCTCCACTCCACTCTGTTCCATTCCACCCCACTCCTACTTGACTCCACTCTATTCCATTCTCTACCATTCCATTCCATAACACTCCATTCCATTCCACTCCAATCCACTAACCTCCACTCCACTCCACTCCACTCCACTGCATTCCATTCCATTCCACTCCACTCCACTCCATTCCATTCCATTCCATTCCTGTGCACTGTGATAAAATCCACTCAACTCCATTTCACTCCAGTCCATATCACTCTCTTCCCTTCCATTCCATTACATTCCTATCCATTCCATTTCATTCCATTCCTTTCCCCTGCACTCCATTCTATTCCATTCCACTCTACCCCACTCGACTCCACTCAAATCAACTCCAATGCAATCCACCCCACTCTACTCCATTCCCTTCCACTCCACTGCATTCCGTTGCACACCATTCCATTTCACACGACTCCACTCCTTTCCACTTCAATCCATTCCGTTCCATTCCACCTCACTCCATTCCTATCCATTCCATTCCATTGCACTCCATTCCATTCCACTCCAATCCACTCCACTCAACTCCACTCTAGTGTAATCCACTCCACTCCATTCCATTCCATTCCATTCCATTGCATTACCATCCATTCCACTGCACTCCGATGCACTCCACTCAAGTATACTCCACTCCACTCTACTCCATTCCATTCTGTTCTCTTCTATTCCATTCTACTCCATTCCATTCCACTCAACTCCATTCCATTCCACTGCATTTCACTCCATTCCACTACACTCCACTGCACTCCACTCCACTCCAATCCATTCCATTCCACTCCATTCCATTCCATTCCACACCATTCCATTCAATTTCCTTCCACTCCGCTAGTTTCCATTCCAGTCCACTTCATTCCATTCCATTCTTATCCACTCCGTTCAACTACATTCCACTCCAATCCTTTCCACTCCACTCCATTCCACTCCACTGCTCTCCATTCCGACCCATTCCTTTGATTCCACCAAATTCCATTCCATTCTATTCCACTCCATTCCACTCCACTCAATTCCACTCCACTTCATTCCACACGACCCATCTCCATTCCACTCCATTCCACTCCGTTCAATTCCACTCCACTCCGTTCCATTACATTCTAAGGCATTCCATTCCATTCCTTTATTTCGAGTGCATTTCACACTTTCACCCAGACTGTAGTGCAGTAACACAATCTTAGCTCACATTTCATTTCTCCATTCCATCGCATTCCATTCCATAACATTGCATTCCATTCCACTGCACTCCAATACACTTCTCTACTCAACTCTACTCCACGTCACTCGGTTCCAATCCGATCCATGCCATTTCGTTCTTTTCCGTTCCATTCCACTTCATTCCATTTCACTATACTCCATTCCACTGCAGTATGTTTCACTCCATTCCACTCCATTCCACTCCACTTCACTCAACTCTACTCCACTCCACTCGATTCCAATCCGTTCCATGCCATTTCGTTCTTTTCCGTTCCTTTCCACTCCATTCCATTTCACTATACTCCATTGTACTGCAGTATGTTTCACTCCATTCCACTCCATTCCACTCCACTCCTCTCCACTTCACTCTACTTCATTCCATTCTACTCCGTTCCACTGGATTCCTTTACTTCAACTGAATATCACTCTTACACCCAGACTGGAGTGCAGTGGCACAACCTTAGCTCACATTTCATTTGACCATTCCATTCCGTTCCATTCTGTTTTATTCAATTCCATTCCACGGCATTCCGATCCACTCCACTCTACTCCATTCCACTCTACTACACTCCACTCCATTCCATTTCCGGCCACTCCATTCCATTCCATTCCACTTCTTTACACTCCATTCCACTCTTCTCCACTCCATTCTGCTCTCTTCCACACCATTACATTCCACTCCATTCCATTCCACTGCATTCCACTACATTCCACTCCTTTCCACTCGATTCCATTCCATTTCTCTCCATTCCATTCCATTCTACTCTATTCCCTTCCATTCCTTTATTTTGACTGGATCTCACTCTGTCACTTAGACTTGAGTGGAGTGACACAATCTCAGCTCACATTTCATTTCACTGTTCCATTCCATTCCACTCCATTCCATTCCATTCCATTCCATTCAAATCCATTCCATTCCATTCCCCTCCACTGCACTTCGATCCACTCCACTCAACTCCACTGCATTCCACTACACTCCACTATGTTCCATTCCATTCAATTCCATTCTAGTCCCTTCCATTCCATTCTATTCCATTCCATTCCATTCTATTCTTTTCCATTCCCTTCCATTCCGTTATGTTCCATTCCACTCCATTCCACTTCACTCATTTCCACTCCACTCCACTCCATTACGCTCCACTACATTCCACTCCATTCCATTCCACTCCATTCCATTCCATTCTACTCTATTGCATTTTATTCCTTTATTTATACTGGATCTCACACTATGACCCCTACTGGAGTGCAGTGGCACAATCTTAGCTCTGATTTCATTTCACCAATGCATTAGATTCCTTTCTGTTCCATTCCATCCCACTCCCTTCATTTCCATTCCACTCCATTCCATTCCATTCCACTCCATTCCATTCCATTCCACTCCACTCCATTCCATTCCATTCCATTCCATTCTAATCCATTCCATTCCACTACACTACACTGCACCGCATTCCATTCCATTCCACTCCATTCCATTCCATTGCACTACACTACACTGCACCGCATTCCATTCCATTCCACTCCATTCCATTCCATTCCACTCCATTCCATTCCATTCCATTCCACTCCACTCCATTCCATTCCATTCCATTCTAATCCATTCCATTCCCCTCCACTACACTGCACCCCATTCCATGCCATTCCAATCCATTCCACTGCATTCCATTACACTGCAGTCCCACCCACTCCACTGAACTCCACTCCACTTCACTCTACTCCACTCCATTCCATTAGGTTGCATTCTGTTTCGTTCCATTCCTTTCCATTCCACTCCACTCCAGTCCACTCCACTCCATTTCACTTCATTCCATTCCATTCCACTCCACTCCATTCCATTACACTGCATTCCGAATGATTCCACTACTTTCCATTCCATTTCACTCCATTCCACTCCATTCCATTCCACTGTACTCCATTCCACTCCACTCCACTCCATTCCACTCCATTCCATTCCACTCCATTCCATTCCACTCCACTCCATTCTATTCCATTCTACTGCATTCAATTCCATTCCTTTATTTCGACTGGTACTTACTCTGTGAACCCTACTGGAGTTCAGTGGCACAATCTTAGGTCTCATTTCATTTCCCCAATCCATTCCATTCCTTTCTGTTCCATTTCATTCCATTCCATTCTATTCCAATCTACTCCATTACATTCCAGTCCTTTATTTCAACTGGATCTCACTCTGTCATCAAGACTAAAGTGCAATGGCCCAACCTAAGCTCACATTTCATTAGCCTTTCCATTCCATTCCATTCCATTCCATTCCATTCCATTCCATTCCATTCCATTGCATTCCATTCCACTCCACTCCACTCCATTTCCCTCCACTACACTGCACTTCATTCCATTCCGTTCCTTTCCATTGTATTCCATTTCATTTCTTTGCACTGCACTACCATCCACTCCACTCAACTCTCCTCCACTTCAGTCTATTCCTCTCTCTTCCATTAGGCTGCATTCCATTCCACTCCACTCCATTCCACTCTACTCCGTTTTACTTCTTTCCACTCCATTCCACTCCACTCCACTCCAGTCCAGTCCATTCTATTACACTCCATTCCATTCGATTCCACTCCATTCCACTCCATTCCATTCCATTCCACAACATTCCACTCCACTCCACTCCATTCCACTCTGCTTTCCACTCCTCCATTAAACATCACTCCACTCCATTCCACTGCATTCCATTCCACTCCACTCCATTCTATTCCATTCTACTCCATTCCATTCCAGTCCTTTATTTCAACTGGATCTCACTCTGTCACCAAGACTAAAATGCAGTGGCCCAACCTAAGCTCACATTTCATTAGCCTTTCCATTCCATTCCATTCCATTCCATTCCATTCCATTCCATTCCATTCCATTCCATTCCGTTCCACTATACTCCGATCCAATCCACTCAACTCGACTTCACTCCACTCATTCCTTTCCATTCTGCTCTATTCTCTTCCATTCCATTCGATTCCATTCCGTTCTTTTCCATTCCATCCCACTCCACTCCATTCCATTCTACTCCATTCCTCTCCACTCCTTTCCACTCCACTCCATTCCATTTCACTCCATTCCATTCCATTCCATTCCATTTCATTCCATTCCATTCCAGTGTACTCCGATAGACTCCACTCAACTTCACTCGACTTCCCTCTGATCCATTCCGTTCCGTTCCTTTGCATTCCAGTCTACTACATTCCATTCCACCTGACTCCATTCCACTCCACTCCATTCCCTCCCATTCTAATGCATTCCATTCCACTCCTTTATTTCGACTGGATATCAAACTGTCACCCAGAATGGAGTGCAGTGGCACCAAATTAGATCATATTTCTTTTCACCCTTCCATTCCATTCCATTCCATTCCATTCCATTCCATTCCATTCCATTCCATTCCATTTCACACCATTCAACTCCACTCCATTCCACTCCCCTCCACTCCACTCTATTCCACTCCACTCCTTTCATTCCATTGCATTCCATTCCTATGTAATCCAATCCACTCGAGTCAAATCCACTCCACTCCACTCCACCACACTCCATTCCATTCCCCTCCACACCGTTTCATTCCATTATACTCTGTGCCATTCCATTCCTTTGTTCCGATTAGATCTCACTGTGTCACCCAGAATGGAGTGCAGTTGCCCAATCTTTGCTCACATTTCATTCACCATGTCATAGCATTCCATTCCATTTCATTCCATTCCATTCCATTAAATTCCATTCCACTGCACTCCGATCCTCTCCACTCAAATCCACTCCACTCCGTTCCATCCCGTTCCATTCCTTTCCTCTTCATTCTATTCCATTACACTTAATTCCATTCCATTCCATTGCACTCCATTCCACTTTACTTAATTACACTCCACTCCATACCACTCCACTATACTCCATTCCATTCCCTTCCATTCCCTTCCATTCCATTCCACACCATTCCATTCCATACCACTCCAGTACGTTCTTCCCCATTCCACTCCACCCCATCAACTCCACTCTATTCCATTCCATTCCATTCCTTTTCTTTCCACTTCACTCCTATCCACTCCACTCAACTTCACTCCATTCTACTCCACTCCACTCCGTCCCATTCCATTCCATTACTTTCCATTCCATTCTACTCCATTCCATTCCATTCCACTCCTATCAACTCCACTCTATTCCATTCCATTCTACTCCCTTCCATTCCATTTCATTCCTTTATTTCAACTGAATCTCACTCTTTCACCCAGACTGGAGTGCAGCGTCACAACCTTAGCTCACATTTCATTTCACCATTCCTTTCCATTACATTCCATTCCGTTCCATTCCATTCCATTCCAATCCATTGGAGACCTTTCCATTCAACTCGAATCCACTCCACTCCACTCCACTCCATTCCACTCCTCTGCATTGAATTGCATTCCATTCCATTCCTTTCCATTCCACTGCATTCTGATCCACTCCACTCAACTCCATGCCACTCCAGTCCATTTGATTCCATTCTGTTCTATTATGTCCCGTTCCATTCCATTCCACCCCATTCCATTCCACTCCACTCCATTCCACTCCCCTCCTTTCCATTCCACTCCATTCCATTCCATTCCACTGCATTCCATTCTATTCCATTACACTCCCTTCCACTCCATTCCACTCCCCTCCATTCCACTCCACTCCACTCCATTCCAATCCATTCCATTCCATTTCACTCCATTCCATTCCATTCCACTCCATTCCATTCCATTCCACTCCACTCCATTTCACTCCATTCCCCTCCTTACCACTCCATTGCCCTGCATTCCACTCCATTCCCTTCCGTTTCATTCCACTCCACTCCTTTCCTCTCCACTCTACTCCATTCCATTCCATTCCATTCCACTCCACTCCATTCCACTCCACTCCACTCCACTCTATTCCTTTCCATCCACTCCATTCCACTCCATTCCACTACATTCCATTCCATTCCTTTATTTTGACTGGATCTCACTTTGTCGCCAAACTGAAGTGCAGTGGCACAATCTTAGCTCACATTTCATTTCACCCTTCCATTCCATTAGATTCCACTACATTCTATTCCATTCCACTGCACTCTGATACAGTCCACTCAATTTTGCTCCACTCCAGTCCATTACATTGCATTCCACTCAATTCGATTCCACCACATTCTATTCCATTCCACTCAATTCCACTCCACTACTTTCCACTCCACTACATTCCACTCCACTCCATTCCAATCTATGCCATTACTTTCCCTTCCATTCCTTTCCATGATATTCCATTGCACCCCATTCCACTCCATTCCTCTGCACTCGATTCCACTCGACTCCATTCCACTCTGCTCCACTCCATTTCAGTTCATTCCATCCCACTCCACTCCATTCCATTTCATTCTACTCCATTCCATTCCATTTCTTTATTTCGAATGAATCTCACTCTGTCACGCATACTGGAGTGCTGTCGCGCAATTTTAGCTCGCTTTTCATTAACAATTCCATTGCATTCCACTCCATTCCATTCAATTACGTTCCATTCTATTCCATTGAATTTCATTCCGTTCCATTCCATTGCACTCCATTCCATTCCATTCCACTGCAATCCAGTCCACTTCACTGAATTCCACTCCACTCCACTCCACTGCATTCTATTCTGTTCCATTCCTTTTTGTTTTGTTCCATTGCATTCCACTCTACTCCACTCCTGTCCACTTTACTGCATTCCCCTCCACTTCACTGCATTCCGTTCCATTCCATTCCATTCCATTCCATTCCATACCACTGCACTCTGATCCACTGCACTCAACTCCACACCACTCCACTCGGTTCCATTCTGTTCCACGCCATTCCGTTCTGTTCCATTCCATTTCACTCCAATCCATTCCGCTATACTCCATTCCATTGCCATACATTTCTCTCCATTCCACTCTATTCCACTCCATTCCACTCCACTCTTCTTCACTCCACTCTATTCCAATCTACTCCATTCCACTATATTTCTTTATTTCGACTGAATCTCACTCTGACACCCAGACTGGAGTGCAGAGGCACAACCTTGACTCACATTTTATTTCACCATTCCAATCCATTCCATTCCATTCCATTCCATTCCATTCCATTCCATTCCATTCCATGCCATTTTCACTCCATTCCATTCCATTCCATTCCATTCCATTCCATTCCATTCCATTCCATTCCATTCCATTCCACTCCACTCCACTCCATTCCATTCCATTCCATTCCCTGCTTTCGACTGGATCTCACTCTGTGACACAGCCTGGAGTGCAGTAGCGCCATCTCATTTCACATTTCATTTGACCATTCCATTCCACTACATTCCACTACACTTCAGTCCACTCCACTCCACTCCCATCCACGCCATTTCACTCCATTCAATTCCATCCCTGTCCATTCCACACCACTCCCGTCCACTCAACTCCATTCCATTCCTCTTCAGTCCACTCCACTCCAGTCTACTCCACTTCATTACACTCCATCCCATCCATTCCACTCCATTTCACTGCACTGCCCTTCTCTCCACTCCACTCCATTCCATTCCATCCCAGTCCATTGCTCTGCATTCCACACCTATCCACTCCACTCCACTCTATTCCATTCCATTCCATTCCATCCCATTACATTATATCCCACTCCATTCCATTCCATTCCATTCCATTAAATTCCATTCCATTCCATTCCTTTCCATTTCGTTCCATTCCATTCCTTTCTTTTGACAGGATCTCACTCTCTCACCCAGGCTGTAGTGCAGTGACACAATATCAACTCACATTTCATTTCACCATTCTCTCCCATTGCATTCCATTCCATTGTATTCCATTCCATTCCATTTCTTTCCAATCCATTCCACTCCCTTCCATTCAACTCCACTCCACTCCAATCAATTGCATTCCTTTTCATTTCATTCGAGTCCATTCCACTCCCTTCCATTCAACTCCACTCCACTCCATTCCATTCCATTCCATTCTATTGTAGTCCACTCCACTGTATTTGACTCGACTCCATTCCATTAGACTTCACACCAATCCATTCCCCTCCATCCCATTCTAATCCACTCCATTCCCCTCCACTCCACTCTACTCCACTACAGTCCACTCCACTCTACTCTACTCCACTCCATTCCATTCCACTCCGTTCCATTCCACTCCATTGAATTCCATTCTTTTCTTTCGACAGGATCTTACTCTTTCACCCAGTTGCAGTGCAGTGGAACTATCTCAGCTCGTGTTTCATTTCACCATAGCATTCCATTCCTTTCCTTTCCATTCCATTCCTTTAAATTACATTCCATTCCATTCCTCTTCACTCCACTCCACTTCACTGCACTCCACTCCACTCCACTCCACTCCATTCCATTCTATCCCATTCCTTTCAACTCTATTCCATTCCACTCCACTCCTTTCCATTCCATCCCAATACATTCCACACGATTCCACTCCAATGCACTCCACTCCTGTCCGCTCCATTCCATTCCACTCAATCCAATTGCATTCATTTCACTCCACTCCACTCCACACCATTCCAGTACACTCCATTTTATTCCACTCCTTACCATTCCATTTCATTCTTTTGACAAGATCTCACTCTGTCACCCAGGCTGGAGTAAAGTGACACTTTCTCAGCTCACATTTCGTTTCAACATTTCATTGCATTCCATTCCATTTCATTCCATTCCACACTTATCCATTCCATTCCACTCCACTCCACACCACTACATGCCACTCCACTCCATTCCATTCCTTTCCATTCCACTCCTTGCCATTCCATTCCTTTCTTTTGATAGGATATCACTCTGTCACCCAGGCTGCTGTGCAGTGGCACAAACTCAGCTCAGAATACATTCCACCATTGCATTCCACTCCATTTCACCCCTTTCCATTCCATTCCTTTCAATTCCATTCCTTTCCATTCCATTCCATTTCACTCCACTCCACTCCACTCCATTCCACTCCATCCAATCTCATTCCACTCCACTCCACTCCATTCCATGCCGTTTCATCCTATTCCATTTCCCGCCATTCCAATCTACTCCACTCAACTCCATTCCGTGCCATTCCATCCCATTCCATTCCACTCCATTCCACTCCACTCCACTCCATTCAAATCCATTCCACTCCATTCCATTGCATTCCATCCCCCAGCACTCCACTCCACTCCATTCCACTCCATTCCATTCCATTCCACTCAATTCTGTTCCTCTCCACTCCATTCTTATCCATCCCATTCCATTCCACTCCATTCCCCACCACTCCACTCCACTTCATTCCATTTCATTCCATCCCATTCCATTCCACTACACTCCACTCCACTCTATTCAATTCCATTCCTTTCCATTCTACTCCATTGTATTACATTCCTTTCTTTCGAAAGGAACTCACTCTGTCACATAGGCTCCATTGCACTGAACCAAACTCAGCTCACATTTCATTTCAACATTCCATTCAATTCCATTCCACTCGACTCCAATCCACTCCACTCTTCTCCACTCCACTTCACTCCAATCCATTCCATTCCAATACATTACATTCCACTCAACTCCATTCCACTGCACTGCACTCAAATCCATGGCATTCCATTCCACTCCATTCATCCCATTCCATTCCTCTCCACTCCATTCCACTCCACTCCACTTCACTTCATTCCATTTCATTCTATTCCATTCCACTCCAATCGATTCCACTCCACTCCCCTCCCTTTCACTCCATCCCATTCCATTCCACTCCATTCCACTCCACTCAACTCCACTTCACTGAAATACACTGCATTCCATTCCTTTCCACTCCCTTCCATTTTTTTTTCCACTCCCTTACATTTCTTTCATTTCTTTTGACAGTTTCTCACTCTCTCACCCATGATGGTGTGCTGTGGCACAATCACAGCTCACATTTCATTTCGACATTCTATTCCATTGCCTTCCATTGCACTCCATTCTATTGCGTTCCATTTTATTGCATTACATTGCACTGCATTCCTTTCCATTCCCCTACACTCCACTCAATTCTACTCCACCCCACTCCACTCCACTCCAGTCCATTCCATTCCTTTCCCTTCCATTCTGTACCAGATCATTCCACTCCATTCTATTCCATTTCTCTGAATTCCATTCCATTGCATTCCAATCCATTCCACTCTCCTGCATTCACTCCTGTCCATTCCTCTCCACTCCATTCCTTGGTACTCCACTCCATTCCATTCCACTCCTTTCCACTCCATACCACTCCAGTCTATTCCATTCCATTCCACTCCACTCCACTCCACTCCACTCCATTCCATTCCATTCCACTGCACTCCGTTCCACTCCAATCAACTTCACTCCACTCCAATCCCTTCCATTCCGTTCCATCCCTTTCCATTCCATTCCACTCCATTCCCTTAAATTCCACTCCTTTCCACTCCTCTCCATTTCACTCCATTGCACTCCACTCCACTCCATTCCACTGCATTCCATTCCATTCTACTCCACTACAATCCATTCCACTTTACTCCATTCCATTCCACTCCATTCCATTCCATTCAACTCCATTCCATTCCATTTCATTCCACTCCTTTCCACACCAGTCCATTCCACTCCTCGCCTCTCGCTTCCAATCAATTCCAGTCTTTTCCATTCTGTTCCACTACCTTCAACTCCATTCCACTCCACTCCATTCCACTCCACTCTCCTCCATTCCACTCCATTCCATTCCACTCCACTCCATTCCATTTCATAATACTCTATTCTATTCCATTCCTTTATTTCGACTGTGTCTCACGTTGTCACCAGAGTGAAGTTTAGTGGCACTATCTTAGCTCACCTTTTATTTCATTCACCATTCCATTCTATTCTGTTCTTTTCCACTACGTTCCATTTCAGTCCATTGCACTTCGATCCAGTCCATTCAAATCCACTCAACTCCAGTTCATTCCTTTCCGTACCATTCTATTCGATTCCACAACATTCCATTCCATTCCACTCCATTCTTTCCCATTTCATTCCACTCCATTCCAGTCCATTAGACTCCACTCCATTGCACTAAACTCCATGTAACTCCTTTCCACTCCTTTGCACTCCATTCCATTCACCTCCAATAAATTCCTTTCCATTGTACTCCGTTGCATTCCATTAGTTTATTTTGACTGGGTCTCACTCTGTCACCCAGACTGGAGTGCAATGGCACAATCTTAGCTCACATTTCATTTCACCGTTCCATTGCATTCCATTCCATTCCATTCCATTCAGTTCCATTCCAATCCATTCTTTTCCATTCCACTCCACTCCATTCCATTCTACTCCATTCCAATCCACTCCACTCCAATCCAATCCACTCCACTCCATTCCATGCCAACCCTTTCTAATGCACTCCAGTCCAATCCACTCAACTCCAATCAACTCCACTCCACTCCCCTCTGTTCCATTTTGTTCCTTCCTGTTGCTTTCGGATCTGTTCCATTCCACTCCATTCCTTTCCAGTCCACTCCATTCCACTCCACTACATTTCTCTCTATTCCACAACATTCCACTCCACTTTACTCCACTCCACTCCACTCTGCTCCATTCCATTCCATTCCATTCCGTTCCATTCCGTTCCGTTCCGTTCCGTTCCATTCCATTCCATTCCATTCCTTTCCACTCCGTTCCACTATATTCTACTCAATTTCACATCATTCCTCTCCGCTCTATTCCACTCAACTCCCTTCCACTCCCCTCCACTCGATTCCAGTCCATTCTCTTCCATTTCACTGCCTTCCATTTCATTCCATTCCACTCCATTCTTCTCCAGTCCATTCCCCTGCACTCCATTCCACCCCACTAAACTCCATGCTAACCTTTTCCATTCCACTGCACTCCATTCTATTCGATTTTACTCCATTCCTTGCCATTCTTTGTTTCGACTGGAACTCACTGTCTCACCCAGACTCTAAGTGCAGTGGCACATTGTTAGCTCACATTTGATTTCACCTTTCGATTCCATTCCACTCCATTCCATTCCATTCCATTCCATTCCATTCCATTCCATTCCATTCCATTCCTTTCCATTGCATTGCATTCCTTTCCATTGCATTCCATTCCACTCAACTCCACTCCACTTCACTCAACTCCACTCCAATTCACTTTACTCCACTCCGTTCTCATGCATTCCATTGCATGACGTTCCATTCCATACCATTCCATTCCATTCCATTACTTTCCATTCCATCGCATTGCATTCCATTCCACTCCATTCAATTCCATTCCATTCCATGCTATTCCATTCCACTGCACTTTGATCCACTCCACTCAACTCCCCCAAACGACATTCCACTCCTTTCCATTCCATTCCATTCCATTCCATTGCATTCCATTCCAGTCCAATTCCATTCCATTCCATGCCATTACATTCCACTGCACTCCGAACCACTCCACACACCTCCCCCACACGACATTCCACTACTTTCCCTTCCGTTTCGTTCCATTCCATTCCATTCCATTCCATTCCATTCCACTCCACTCCATTCCACTCCACTCCACTCCAGTCCACTCTACTCCCCTCCATTCCATTCCATTCTATTCCACTGCACTCCAATCCTCTCCACCCATCTCAACTCCATTCCGCTCCACTCCGTTCCATTGCGTTCCATACTGTTCAGTTCTATTTCATTCCACTCCATTCCATTCCTCTCCAATCAATTCCTCTCCACTGTATTTCACTCCGTGGCATTAAATTCTACTACACTCCTCTTCCCTCCACTCAACTCCATTCCACTCCACTCCATTATGTTCCATTCCGTTCTGTTCCATTCCATTAAATTCCACTCCATTACATTCCACTCCACTCCATTCCACTCCACTCCATTTCACTTCATTAAACTTCATTCCTCTCCCCTCATCTGCATTCCATTCCACTCCTCTCCTTTCAATTCCACTCCATTCCATTCCATTCCTTTCCACTCCATTACACTCCACACCACTCCATTCCAATCCATTCCATTCCACTTCATTCCATTCAGTTTTACTCTATTCCTTTCCATTCCTTTATTTCGACTGGAACTCACTCTCTCACCCAGACTGGAGAGCAGTGGTACATTCTTAGCTCACATTTCATTTCACCCTTCCATTCCATTCCATTCCATTCCATTCCATTCCATTCCATTCCATTCCAATCTACTCCACTGCACTCAACTCCAGTCCACCTCACTCCACTCCACTCCACTCCACTCCACTCCACTCCAATACACTCCATTCCTTTCCTTTCCATTCCATTCCATTCCACTGCACTCTGATCCACTCCACTCAACTCCACACCACTCCACTCCATTTCGTTCTGTTCCATTCCGTTCTGTTCCATTCCTTTTCCTAAACTCCATTGCTTTCCACTCCACTCCATTCCACTCCACACAATTTCACACCATTCAACTCAACTCCACTCGACTCCACGCCACTCCACTCCGCTCCACTCAAATTCACTCCATTCCATTCAACTTCATTCCATTCCATTCCACTCCTTTCCATTACATTATATTCCACCCCATTCCACTCCACTCCATTGCATTCCAATCCACTCCACTCCACTCCATTCCATTATACTCCACTCCATTCCATTCCATTCCACTTCGTTCCTCTTTATTCCACTCCACTCTATACCACTCCACTCCATTCGTCTCCACTGCACTCCTTTTCGCCCCACTCCACTACATTCCACTCCCTTCCAATCCACTCCACTCCATGCCAGTCCATTCTAAACCATTCCATTCCATTCCTTTATTTCAACAGGATCTCACTCCGTCACCCATACTGGAGAGCAGTAGCACAATGTTACCTCACATTTTTTTTCACCATTCCATTCCATTCCACTCCATTCCATTCCTTTACATTCTATTCTACTCCACTCCACTCCACTCCATTTCGTTCAATTCCGTTCCATTCCATTTCGTTCCATTCCATTCCAGTGTCTTCTGATCCACTACACTCAACTCCAGTACACTCCACTCCACTCCACTCTGTTCCATTCTGTTCTGTTCCTATACCTTCCCTTCCTTTCCTCTCCTTTCCATTCCAGTCCAATCCATTCCAATACACTCCACTTTATTCCACTCCACTCCACTCCTCTCCACTCCACTAAATTCCATTCCGCTCCATTTCATTCCATTCCACTCCATTCCGTTCCATTCCACTCCATTTCACTCCTCACCATCTCCCTCCACTCCTTGCCAATTTACTCCTCTTCACTCCACTCCACTTTATTCCTTTCCATTCTGCTCCTTTACATTCCATTACCCTCTATTCCAGTCCATTCCACTCCACTCCATTCCACTCCACTGTATTCCACTCCACTGCACTCCATTTCACTCCACTCCGTTCCACTCCACTGCATCCTACTGCAGGCCCTTCCATTCCACTCCACTCCATCCCATTGCTTTCTACTTGATTCCTTTCCATTCCTTTATTTCGACTGGATCTCACTCTTTCACCCAGACTGGAGTGCTGTGGCACTATCTTAGCTAACATTTCATTTTACCATTCCATTCCATTCCATTCCATTTCATTCTATTTCATTCCATTCCATTCCATTAGACTCCACTGCACTCCCCTCCACTCTACTCCACTCCTCTCAATTCCACTCCACTCCATTCCATTCCATGCCATTCCAGTCCATTCCACTGAATTCCTATCCTCTCCCGTCAACTCCACTCCACTGCACACCACTATGTACCATTCCGTTCCATTTCATTCCGTCCCATTCCATTCCACTCCGTTCCATTACATTCCATTCCACGCCATTCATTTCTGCTCCATTCCACTCCACTCCATTCCATTCCACTCCATTCCCTTCCATTCCACTCTACTCCTTTCCATTCCATTCCATTTCACACCACTACATTCCATTCCATTCCTCTCCATTCCTTTACATTCCACCACATTCCATTCCTTTCCATTCCACACCAATCAACCCCAATCCACCCCAATCCACTTCACTCAACTCCACTCTGTTCCACTCCACTCCACCCCTCCACTTTCCATTCCATTGCTTTTTATTCCATTCCATTCCATTCCATTCCATTCCATTCCATTCCATTCCATTCCATTCCACTCCAATCCAATCCATTCCATTCCACACCACTCCACTCCACTCCATTCCATTCCACACCACTCCAATCCACTTCACTCCGTTCCTTTCCATTCCATTCCGTTCCATTCCATTCCATTCCATTCCGTACCGTTCCGTTCTGTTCCATTCCGTTCCATTCCGTTCCATTCCATTCCATTCCATTCCATTCCTTTCCATTCCACTCCATTCCAATGCACTCCATTCCACTCCATTCCATTCCACTCAAATCCACTCCTCTCCTCTCCACTCCGTTCCATTGTGTTCCATTCCATTCTATTCGATTCACTGCATTTCATTCCACTCCACTGCATTCAACTCCACATGAATGCGCTACACTCCCCCTCACATCACTCAATTTCATTTACTTCACTCCATTTCACTATATTCCATAGTATCCTTTACACTGCAATTCGATCTGATCCACTCCACTCCACTCAACGCCTCTCCACTCCTCTCCACTCTAGTCCGTTTAACTCCACTCCATTCCATTTCATGCCATTCCATTCCCTTGCATTCCACTGCACTCCATCCACTCCACTCAATTCCACTCCACTTCACTCCATTCCACTCCACTCCTTTCTATTCCATTCCTTTCCGTTCTGTACCATTAAATTCCATTCCGTTCTATTCCATTCCATTTCACTCCATTCCATTCCACTCCACTCCATTCCTCTCCACTCCACTCCATTCTATTCTGTTCCATTCCACTCCATTACATTCAACTCCACTCCATTCCACTCCACTCCATTTCACTACTTTCCACTCTATTCCACTCCTCTCCACTACTGTCTGCAGCACTACATTCTTTCCACTTCATTCCATTCCATTCCTTTCCATTCCACTCCACACCACTCCACTCCACTTTGCTCCACTCCATTCCATTCCACTCCAGTCCATTCCTTCCAAACCATTCCATTCCACCCCACTCCACTCCATTCCACTCCACTCCATTCCGTTCCACCGCACTCCACTCGACTCCACTCTATTCAATTCTATTCCATTCCATTCCACAGCCCTCCCTTCCATTCCACTCCACTCCACTAAACTCCACTTCACTCCACTCCACTCTGCTCCACTCCACTCCACTGCATTCCTTTCCATTCCACTCCAATCCATTCCTTTGCATTCCTTTCCATTCCATTGCTGTGCCTTCTGATCCACTCCACTAAACACCACTCTACTCAAGTCCATATCAATTTGTGCCGTTCCATTCCATTCCATTCCTTTCCATCCCATTCCATTCTGTTCTATTCCATTCCATTCTACTCCATGCCATTCCATTCCACTCATTTCTACTCTACCTCACTCAACTCCACTGAACTGCACTACAATCCAGTACATAACACTCTACTCCGTTCCATTCAACTACACTCCATTCCATTCCTTTCCATTCCACACCAATACACTCCATTTCATAAAACCTTACTCCACTCCATTCAATTCCATACCTTTTTGTTCCATTCCTTTCCACTCAATTCCATTCCACTCAACTCCATTCCGCTCTACTACACTCCATTCCAATCCTCTCCATCCCATTCCATTCCATTCCATTCCATTCCGTTCCGTTCCATTCCATTCCATTCCAATCCATTCCATTCCATTGCATTCCACTGCACTCTGATCCAGTACATTCATGTCCACTCCACTCCAGTCAATTCCATTCTCCTCTGTTCCATTCTTTTCCATTTCATTCCATTCTACTCCATTCCATTCCACTACACTGCATTTCACTACATTCCTCTCCATTCCACTACACTCCACTGCACTCTACTGCATTCCTTTGCACTCTATTTCATTCCATTCCACACCATTCCTTTTGATTGCATTCCACTCCACTCCATTCCATTCTGTTCCACTTCATTCCATTTTATTCCACTCCACTCCTTTCAACTCCATTCCACTCCAATCCATTCCAATCTACTCCATTTCACTCCACTATTCTCTGTTCCAATCAATTCCTTTCAATTCCACCCCATTCAATTCTATTCTATTCTTATCCATTCCACTCCTTTCCACTCCACTCAATTCCACTCCACTTTTCCTCTGCACTCCATTCCATTACACTACGTTCCTCTCCATTTAATTCCACCCCGGTCCATTCCTTTCCATTTTGTGGCATTCCATTCCATTCCTTTATTTCAACAGGATCTCACCTTTCACCGAGACTGCAGTGCAGTGGCAGAATCTTATCCCTCATTGCATTTCACCCTTCCATTCCATTCCATTCCACTGCTCTCCGATCCACTACACTCAACTCCACTCTACTCCACTCCACTCGGTTCCATTCCAATCCGTGCCATGCCCTTCTGTTCTGTTCCATTCCACTCCATTCTATTCCACTCTACTCTATTCTACTGCAGTACATGTTACTCCATGCCACTCCATTACACTCCCCTCCACTACACTTCACTCCACTCCATTCCATTTCACTCCATTCCACTACAATCCTTTATTTCGACTGAATCTCACTCTGACATGTAGACTGGATTGCATTGGCACAATCTTAGCACACATTTCGTTTCAGCATTCCATTCCATTCCACTCCACTCCATTCCATTCCATTCCACTCTATTCCATTCCATTCCTTTCCACTGCACTCTGATCTACTGCATTCTACTTCATTCCACTCTACTCCATTCCACCCCACTCCACTCCATTCCATTCAGGTCCATTCCTTTCGGCTCTCTTCCATTCCACTCCATTTCATTCCACTCCTCCCCATTCCACTCTTCTCCATTCTGCTCCATTCCACTGCACTTCACTTCACTCCACTCCACTCCACTCCATTCCATTCCATTCCACTCCATTCAACTCCGTTGCTCTCTACTGCACTCCACTCCATTGCACTATACTCTACTCCATTGCATTTCACTCCACTGTTCTCCATTCCACTTCATTCCTTTCCATTCCTCTCCATTCCATTCTATTCCGCTCCATTCCACTCCAATTCATTCCACTCCATTCCATTCCACCCCATTCCACTCCATTCCATTCTATTCCACTCCATTACATTGCATTCTATTCTACTACATTCCATTCCACTGCATTATTTCAACTGGATCTCACTCTGTTACTTAGACTTGAGTGCAGTCACACAATCTAATCTCACATTTCATTTCTACATTCCATTCCATTGCATTCCATTCTGTTCCGTTCCTTTCCATTCCACTCCATTCCATTCAACTGCACTCCATTTCATGCCATTCTGTTCCATTCCACTTCACTGCACTCTACTCCACTCCATTCAATTCTACTCCATTACATTCCAATCCTTTATTTCTACTCAATCTCACTCTGTCACAAAGACTGGAGTGCAGTTGCACAATCTTAGCTCACATTTCATTTCACCATTTCATTCCATTGGATTCCATTGGATTCCATTCCATTCCATTCCATTCCATTCAATTCCTTTCCATTCTACTGCACTCCGATCTGCTCCACTCAACTCCACTCCACTCCACTCTGTTCGGTGCCATTCCATTCCATTCCATTCCATTGCATTCCATTCCATTGCATTCCATTCCATTCCATTGCATTCCATTCCATTCCATTCCATTCCATTCCATTCCATTCCGCTCCACTCAATTCCACTCCACTCCACTCCACTCCATTCCACTCCATTTCATTCCATTCCATTCCGCTCCACTCAATTCCACTCCACTCCATTGCACTCCACTCCACTCCACTGCATTCTACTCCACTCCACTCCACTCCATTCCACTCCACTCAATTCCACTCCACTCCATTCCATTACCTTCTTCTCTATGCTTTTCCATTCCTTTAATTCGTCCGGATCTTACTCTGTGATCCCGACTGGAGTGCAGTGGCACAATCTTAGCTCCCATTTCCTTTCACCAATCATTTCCATTCCATTCCATTCCATTCCATTCCATTCCATTCCATTCCATTCCCCTCTACTCCACTACAATCCACGATGCTACACTCCACTCCATTGCACTCCATTCTATCCCGTTCCGTTCCATTCCATTCCATTCTTTTCCATTCCATTCCATTCCATTCCATTCCATTCCATTCCATTCCATTCCATTCCATTCCATTCCATACCATTCCATTCCATTCCACTGCACTCCCATCCACTCCACTCAACTCCACTCCACTTTACTCTGCTCCACCGCCTACCATACGGTTACATTCTGTTGCGTTCCATTCCATTCCATTCTATTCCACTCCACTCCATTCCGCTCCTCTCCATTGCACTTCATTCCACTCCACTCCACTGTGCTCCACTCCATTTCGTTCCACTCATTCCATTCAACTCCATTTCACTCCATTCCATTCCACTCCACTCCATTCCACTCCACTCCACTCCACACCACTTTAATCCATTCTTATCACTTACTCTCCATTCCATGACATTCTATTCCACTCTACTCCATTCCATTGCATTCCTTTATTTCGACATCATCTCACTCTTTT
The DNA here is from genome assembly GCF_000001405.40 of Homo sapiens. Classification (NCBI taxonomy): domain Eukaryota; kingdom Metazoa; phylum Chordata; class Mammalia; order Primates; family Hominidae; genus Homo; species Homo sapiens. The sequence continues at coordinate 10,776,929 of NC_000024.10, forward strand.
TCACAGGCTAGAGTGCAGTGACCAAATCTCACCTCACATTTCATTTCACCATTCCATTCTATTCCATTCCATTCCATTCCATTCCACTCAACAGCTTTGCACACCCCTCCACTCCACTCTATTCCATTTCATTGCATTCCATTCCATCCCATTCCATTCCACTCTATTCCATTCCACTCCACTCCATTCCACACCACTTCTCTCCATTCCTTTCTATTCCATTCCATTCCCTAACCTTTCATTCCACTCCATTCCACTCCACTTTGTTCCACTCCATTCCAGTTAATTCTATTCCTTCTTTTGACGGGATCACACTCTGCCATACAGGCTGAAGTGCAGTGGCACAATCTCATCTAACATTTCATTTCACCATTCCATTGGATTCCAGTCCATTCCACTTCATTCCACTCCAACCCACTCAAGTCCACTTCACTCCATTCTATTCCATTCCAATGTGCTCCACTACACTCATCTACTCTCCATTCCATCCAACTCCATTCCACTGCATTCCATTCCACTCCACTCCACTCCATTCCTTTCCTTTCCTTTATGTCACATTCCACTCCACTACAATCTGCTCTATTCCATTCCATTCCATTCCATTCCATTCCATTCCATTCCATTCCATTCTATTCCATTCAAGTACCCTCCATTACCTTAGATTTCTTTCTTTCGACAGGATCTCATTCTTGCACCCAGGCTGGAATGCAGTGGAACAATCTCAGCTCACATTTCATTAAACCATTGCATTGCATTCTATTCCATTCCATTTCATTCAATTCCATTACATTCCATTCCATTTTCTTCCGTTCCGTTCTGTTCCACTCCACACCACTACACTCAATTCCACTCCACTCCACTCAATTCCACTCCACTCCACCCCAGTCCACTCCATTCCACTACACTCCACTCCATTCCATGCCATCCCATTCCATTCCTCTCCAATCCACACCACTCCACTCCAGTCCACTCCATTCTATTCCATTTCATCCAATTCCACTCTACTCCATTCCATTCCATTCCATTCCATTCCATTCCATTCCATTCCATTCTATTCCATTCCATTAAACTTCATTCCATTTCTTTCCCTAGTTGCTACAGAATCTCACTATGTGACACAGGCTGGAGTGTAATAGCAAAATCTCATCTCTCATAGCATTTCACCATACCATTCCTCACCATTCCACTTCACTTCACTTCACTGCACTCTTCACCAATGCACGCCATTCCACTCCATTCCATTCCATTCCTTTGTTTCGACAGGATCTCACTCTGTTACCGAGGCTGGAGTGCAGTGGCACAATCTCAACTCACATTCCATTCCATTCCATTTCATTCCACTCCATTCAATTCCACTCCAATCCACTCCATTCCATTCCATTCCATTCCACTCCACTCCACTACACTTCATTCTGTTCCATTTCACTCCACTCTACTCCCCTCCAATCCACTCCATTCCACTGCATCCAATTCCACTCCACTCCACTCCAGTCCACCTCATTCCATTCCAGCCCCTTACATTCCATTCCTTTCTTTTGACAGTATCTCACTCTCTCACCCAGGCTACATTGCAGTGGCACAATCTCCGCCCACATTTCATTACACCATTCTATTCCATTACATTCCATTGCATTCCATTCCATTGCATTCCATTCTATTGTATTCCATGGCATTCCATTTCGTTCAATTCCATTCCAGTCCACTCCATTCAACTACAATTAAATCCACTCCATTCCTTTTCATTCCATTCCATTCTATTCCTTTCCACTCCAGTCCACTCCACTGCACTCCACTCCACTACTCTCCACTCCATTCCAGTCCACTCCATCCCATTCTATGCCACTTCATTCCCTTCCACTCCAATCTACTCCACTCCTGTCCACTCCACTCCACTGCATTCCATTCCACTCCATTCCATTCCATTCCTTTCTTTCGACAGGGTCTCTCTCCCTCACCCAGTTTGCAGTGCAGTGGAACAATATCAACTCGCATTTCATTTCACCTTTCCATTTTATTCCATTCCATTCCATTCCATTCTATTCCATTCCATTCTATTCCATTCCACTCCACTCCACTCAATTCCACTCCACTCCACTCCTCACCACTCCACTCCATTGCAATCCATCCCAATCCATTCCATGACATTCCATTCCACTCCATTCCACTGCACTCCATTCAACTTCATTCCACTCCATTCCACTGCATTCGTTTCCACTCCACTCCATTCCATTCCGTTCTACTCCATTCCATTCCATTCCTTTACTTCGACATCATCTCTCTCTGTTACACAGGCTGGAATACAGTGGCCCAATCTCAGCTCACATTTCATTTCACCATTCCATTCCATTTCATCCCATTCCATTCCATTCCACTCAACAGCACTACACACCCCTCCACTCCATTATATTCCATTCCATTCCATTCCTTCCAATTCGATTCCACTCTATTCGACTCCACTCCACTCTGTTCCACACGACTCCTCTCCACTCCATTCCATTCCATTCCATAACATTCTATTCCACTCCATTCCACTCCACGTTATTCCACTCCATTCCAGCCAGTTCTATTCCTTTTTTCGACAGGATCTCACTCTGTCATACAGGCTGCAGTGCAGTGGCAGAATCTCATCTCACATTTAATTTCACCATTCCATTGCATTCCTTTCCATTTCACTCCATTCCACTCCACTCCACTCAAGTCTTCTTCGCTCCATTCCATTGCATTCCACCGTGCTCTACTCCATTCCTCTCCTTTCCATTCCACCCAGTTCCATTCCACTCCATTCCATTCCACTCCACTGCATTCCGTTCCTTTCCATTAAGTGTTATTCCACTCCACTTCACTCCGCTCCGCTCCACTCCATTCCATTCCATTCCATTACACACCACTACATTACATTCCTTTCTTTCGACAGGATATCACTCTTTCATCCAGGCTGGAATTCAGTGTCACACTCTCAGCTCACATTTTATTTAATCATGGCATTCCATTTCATTCCATTCCATTTCGTTCCATTCCATTCCATTCCATTACATTTTGTTCCATTCCTTTCTGTTCCACTCCACTCCTCTACACTCAATTCCACTCCACTCCACTCCAGTCTACTCCAATCCTCTTCACTCCATTCCATTCCTTGCCATCCCATTCCATTCTACTCCATTCCACACCGCTCCACTCCACTCCACTCCACTTCATTCTACTACATTTCATCCCCTTCCATTCCACTCCATTCCATTCCATTCCATTCCATTCCATTCCATTCCATTCCATTCCATTAAACTCCATTGAAATTATTTCCGTAGTTTCTACAGAATCTCACTCTGTGACACAGGGTTGAGTGCAATAACAATATCTCATCTCGCATATCATTTCACCATGCCATTTATCACCATTCTGCTCCACTTCACTCCACTGCACTCCACACCAATCTACGCCATTCCACTCCATTCCATTCCACTCCATTCCATTCCATTCCTTTGTTTCAACAGGATCTCCACTCCGCTCCACTCCAATCCACTCCATTCCACTGCATCCCATTCCACTCCACTCCACTCCACTCCACCACACTCCACTCCACTCCACTCCATTCCATTCCACTCCCTTACATTCCATTATTTTATTTCAACAGGATCTCACTCTCTCACTCAGGCTAGAGTGCAGTGGCACAATCTCAGCTCATATTTCATTTCACCATTCTATTCCATTCCATTCCATTGCATTCCATTCCATTCCATTCCATTTCATTCAATTCTATTCCATTTCATTCAATTCTATTCCACTGCACTCCATTCATCTACAATACATTCCACTCCACTCCATTTCATTACTTTCTATTCTATTCCTTTCCACTCCAGTCCACTCCACTGCACTCCACTCGACTCCACTCCACTCCACTACTCTCCACTCCATTCCAATCTACTCCATCCAATTCTATTCCACTTCATTCCCCTGCACTCCACTCTACTCCTCTCATGTCCAGTGCACTCCACTGCATTCCATTCCACTCCATTCAATTCCATTCCTTTATTTCAACAGGATCTCACTCCTTCACCCAGTTTGCAGTGCAGTGGAACAATCTCAACTCACGTTTCATTTCACCTTTCCATTTTATTCCATTCCATTCCATTCCATTCCATTCCATTCCATTCCATTCCATTCCATTACACTCCACTCCGGTCAATTCCACTCCACTTCACTCCACTCCATTCATTTCCATTCCAATCCATTCCACTCCATTCCCTTCCTTTCCTTTCTTTCGACAGGATCTCACTCTGTCACACAGTCTGAAGTGCAGTGGCAAAATCTCGGCTCACATTTCATTTCTCCATTCCATTCCATTCCATTCCATTCTATTCTATTCCATTCCATTCCATTCCATTCCACTCCACTCCACTCAGTTCCATTCCATTCCACTCCACTCGACTTCACTCTAATCCTCTCCATTCAATTTCATTCCATTCCATTCCACTCCTATCCATTCCATTACTGTCTTTCTACAGGATCTCACTCTGTCACCCAGTCTGGAGAGCAGTGACACTGTCTCAGCTCACATTTCTTTTCACCATTCCTTTGCATTCCATTCCATTGCATTCCATTACATTCCGTTCCATTCCATTCTACTCCTCTCCTCTCCACTCCATCCCATTCCATACCATTTTATTCCACTCCACTCCACTCTATAGCATTCCCTGCCATCCCATTCCACACTCTTCCACCCCAGTCTGCACCACTCCACTGCACTCTAATGAATTCCATTCCATTCCATTCCATTCCATTCCATTCCATTCCATTCCATTCCATTCCATTCCATACCACTCCATTACTTTCTGTCGAGAAAATGTGACTCTGTCACACTGGCTGGAGTGCAGTGAAGCAATTTCAGCCCATATCCACTCCATTTCATTGCATTCCATTCTATTCCTCTCCATTCCAGTCCTCTCCATTGCACTCCACTGAATTCCACTCCAATCCACTGCATTCCATCCCATTGCATTCCACACCAATTTACTCCACATCTCTGTACTCCACTTTACTCCATTCCATTCCACTCCCTACCATTCCATTCCCCTCCATTCCACTCCACTCCAGTCAACATCTCTCCACTCCATTCCATTCCATTCCATTCCACTCTATTCCATTCCATTCATTTCTTTTGAAATTTTGTCACTGTGTCACAGTTTGTGGTGCAGTGGAAGAATCCCAGTTCATATTTTATTTCACTGTAGCCTTCCATTCCATTCCACTCCATTCTTTTCTTTTAAACTCCACTCCCATTCAGTCCACTCCACTCCATTCCATTTCACTCCACTCCCCTCCATTCCACTCAACTCCACTCCGTCCCATTCCATCCCATTCCATTCCAATTCATTGCTCTCAACTCCACTCCACCCCACTCCACTTCTTTCCATTCCATGCCATTCCATTCCACTCCACTGCACTTCAATCCATCCCATTCCATTCCACTACATTCCACTCCACTCCACTCCAATCCATTCCACTTCTTTGCAGTCCATTCCATTCCAGTCCACTCCACTCCAATCCATTTAACTGCAGTCCACTCCACTCCATTCCATCCCTTTTGATTCCACTCCTCTCCACTCCATTCGATTCCATTCCACTAAATTCCATTCCGTTCCATTGAATTCTAATCCACTCCACTCCTCTACACTCCACTCCATGCCATTACATTCCATTACATTCCAGTCCATAGTCCTGCATTCCACTCCACTCCACTCCACTATATTCCATTCCATCCCATTCCACTCCTCTCCGCTCTAATCCACTCCACTCCACTCCTCTCCACTCCATTCCATTCCATGCCATTTCACTCCATTCCTTTCCATTCCGTGCTTTTGACAGCTTCTCACTCTGTCACACAGGCTGGAGTGCAGTGGCACAATCTCAGCTCACGTTGCATTTCACCATTCCATTGCATTCTTTTGCATTGCCTTCCACTCCATTCCATTCCATTCCATTCCATTCCATTCCATTCCATTCCATTCCATTCCACTACACTCAGCTGCATTCCATTCCATTCCACTCCACTCCACCCCTATGAACTCCACTCGACTCCACTCCACCACATTCTACTCCTTTCCATTCCACTCCATAACATTCTATTCCAATACATTCCACTCCACTCCACTCTATTCCATTCCAGTCCACTCTACTAAACTCCCCTCCATTCCGCTCAACTCCACTCCTTCCCATTCCATCCTATTCCATTCCAATTCATTCCCCTCCACTCCACTCCGCTTCTTTCAATTCCATGCCATTCCATTCCACTCCACTCCACTTCAATCCATCCCATTCCATTCCACTACATTCCACTCCACTGCACTCCAATCCATTCCACTTCTTTACAGTCCATTCCATTCAAGTCCACTCCACTCCAATCCATTTAACTCCACTCCACTGCACTCCATTCCATCCCTTTCCATTCCACTCCTCTCCACTCCATTCGATTCCATTCCATTAAATTCCATTCCTTTTCATTGAATTCTAATCCACTCCACTCCTCTACACTCCACTCCATGCCATTCCATTCCATTACATTCCTGTCCAAAGTCCTGCATTTCACTCCACTCCACACCACTGCATTCCATTCCATTCCATCTCATTCCACTCCATTTCACTCGTCTCCACTCTACTCCACTCCACTCCACTGCACTCCTCTCCACTCCATTCCATTCCATTCCATACCATTTCATTCCATTCCTTTCCGTTCCGTGCTTTTGACAGCATCTCAGCCTGTCACACAGGCTGGAGTGCAGTGGCACAATCTCAGCTCAGGCTGGAGTGCAACGGCACAATTTCAGCTCACATTTCATTTCACCATTCCATTCCATTCCATTCCATTCCATTGCATTCAATTCCACTCTATTCCTCTGTACTCCACTCCACTCTACTCCACTCCGTTCCATTCCACTCCATTCCACTCTATTCCACTCCACTCCACTTTACTTTATTCCACTCCATTCCATTCCATTCCACTCCATTCCAATCCAATGCACTCCAATCGACTCCACTACACTCAATTCCGTTCAACTTTATACCATTGTATTCCACTCCATTCATATTAACACCACTCCACTCTACTCCACTCCAGTCCACTCCACTCCGCTCTGTTCCATTCCAATCCACTCCTCTCCACTGCACTCCATTCCATTTCATTCTGCTCCATTCCTTTCCATTCCTTTCTTTTGACAGGGTCTCACTCTTTCAGCCAGGTTAGAGTGCAGTGGAATAAACTCCGTTCACATTTTATTTCATCATAGCATTCCATTCCATTCCATTTCCTAAAATTCCATTCAATTCCAGTCCACTCCAATCAACTCCACTCTACCTCATTCAATCCTATTCAATTCCACTCCACTCCATTCGATTCCATCCCATCCCATTCCATTCCATTCCATTCCACTCCACTCTTCTCCACTCCACTCCATGCCATTCCATTCCTTTCTATTCCAGTACATATTACTCCATTCCTCTCCACTCCACTCCACTACATTCCATTCCATTTCATCCCATTCCACTCCATTCCTCTCTTCTCCACTCTACTCCACCCCATTCCATTCCATTCCATTTTACTCCATTAAATTCCATTCCTCTCTTTAGACAGAATTTTACTCTGTCACACAGGCTGGAGTGCAGTGACACAGTCTCAGCTCAGGCTGGAGTTCAGTGGCATAATATCAGCACACATTTCATTTCACCATTCCATTCCATTCCACTTTATTCCATTCTACTCCACTCCACTCCACTCCATTCCATTCCTTTCTTTCAAAAGGAGCTCACTCTTTCACCTAGGTTAGAGTGCAGTGGAACAATCTCAGCTCACATTTCATTTCACCATAGCATTCAATTCGATTCTGTTCCATTCCCTTCAATTCCATTCCACTCCATTCCACTCCAATGTACTCCACTCGACTCCACTCCAATTCACTCCTCTCCACTCCATTCCATTGTACATCATACCATTCTGTTCCACTCCATTCACATGCTCTCCACTGCACTCTATTCCACTCCAGTCCACTCCACTCCACTCCATTTCACTCTACTCCATTCAACTCCACTCCATTCCATTCTTTTGACAGGTTCTCACTCTTTCACACAGGTTAGAGTGCAGTGGAACAACCTGAGCTCACATTTCATTTCACCATAGAATTCCATTCCATTCCATTGCATTCCCTAGAATTCCATTCCATTCCAGTCCACTCCACTCCATTCCACTCCACACCACTTCTTTCCATCCCATTCTGTTCCACTCCATTCCACTCCCATCCACTCCATTGCACTTCTTTCCATTCCATTCCATTCCATTCCATTCCGTTCCATTCCATTCCATTCCATTCCATTCCATTCCATTCCATTCCATTCCATTCCATTCCATTCCACTCCAATCCTCTCCACTCCACTCCTGTCCACTCCATTGCGTTCCATTCACGCCAATCCACTCAACTTATTTCCATTCCATTCCATCCTATTCCATTCCACTCCTTTCCATTCCATTCATTTTCTTCAACAGGATCTCTCTGTCACCCAGGCTGGAATGCAGTGGCACAATCTCAGCTCACGTTTCGTTTCACCATTCAATTGCATTCTTTTGCATTGCATTCCACTCAATTCCATTCCATCTCATTCCATTCCATTCCGTCCATTGCATTCCACTCCACTCAGCTGCATTCCATTCCATTCCATTCCACTCCACTCCACTCCACTCCTATGCACTCCCCTCGATTCCTTTCCACTCCACCAAAGTCCACGCCATTCCATTCCACTCCATAATATTCTATTCCAATATATTCCCCTCCACTCCACTCTATTCCATTCCAGTTCACTCCACTCCACTCCAGTCCACTCCACTCCACCCCACTCCAGCCCACTCCACTTCACTCCACTCCATTCCACTCCATTCCATTCCACTCCATTTCATTCCATTCCTTTCTTTCGACAGCATATCACTCTGTCACCCAGGTTACAGTGTAGTTGAAAAATATCAGCTCATATTTCATTTCACCATAGCATTCCGTTCCATTCCATTCCATTCCATTCCATTCCATTCTATTCCATTCCATTGCCTTCCATTCCTTTAACTTCCATTCCATTCCTGTCCACTACACTCCACTCCACTTCACTCCACTCCAATCCACTCCACTCCGCTTCATTCCATCCCATTCCATTCCACTCCATTCCACAACACTCCAGTCCACTCAACTTCTTTCAATTCAATCCCATTCCATTCTACTCCAGTCCACTCCACTCCACTCCTTTCCATTCCACTACATTGCATTCCTTTCCACTCCTTTCCATTCCATTCCTTTCTTTTGACAGAATCTGATTCTTTCACCCAGGCTGGAGTGCTGTCGCACAATCTGAGCCCACATTTCATTTCACCACTCCATTGCATTCCATTCCTTTGCATTCCATGCCATTCCATTTTTTTTCCATTCCACTGCACTCCACTCCACTCTACTCCACTCTGCTGCATTCCATTCCATTCCATTCCATTGCATTCCATTCCATTCCATTCCATTCCATTCCACTCTACTCCACTCCTCTGCACTCCATCCCATTGCATCCCATCCCATTCCACACCATTCCACTGCACTCCACTCAACTGCATTCCATTCAATTCCATTACATTCCACTCTATTTCATTCTGTGCTTTTCTGTCAACAAGATCTCACTCTGTCACAGTGGCTGTAGTGTAGTGGCAGAATCTCAGCTCACATTTCATTCTACATTCCATTCCATTCCCTTCCACTCCATTCAATCCCATTGTATTCCACTCCATTCATCTCCACTTCACTGAACTCCCTTCCACTTCATTCCATTAAACTCCACAACATTCCATTCTACTCCACGCCACTCCACTCCACTCCACAACACTCCATTCCATTTCATTCCACTGTATTCCATTCCATTCCTTTTCTTTTACAGTATATCACTCTGTTACACAGGCTGGAGTGCTTTAGCGCAATCTCAGCTCACATTGCCTTCACCATTCCATTGCATTCCATTCCATTCTGTTCCATTCCAAATCACTACATTCCATTTAGTTCCTATCCATTCCACTGCACTCCTCTCCACTCCACTGCACGCCATTCCATTCCATTCCATTCCAGTCCAGTCCACTCCACTACGCCTTATTCCATTACATCCCGATTCATTCCACTCCATTCCACTCCTCTCCACTCTACTCCACTCCACTCCTCTCCACTCTATTCCGTTCTGTTTCATTCCATTCCATTCCATTCCTTTGCATTCCATTCCTTTCTTTTGACAGGATCTCACTCTGTCACCCAGGCTGATGTCCAGCGGCATAAACTCAGGTGACATTGCAATTCACCATTGTATTCCATTCCATTTCACTCCATTCCATTCCATTCCATTCCACTCCACTCCACTCCACTCCACTCAATTCCATTCCACGCAATCCCATTTCATTCCACTCCACTCCATTCCATGCCCTTCCATCCAATTCCATTCTATTCCGTTGTATTCCAATCCATTCCATTCCATTCAAATCCTTTCTTTCAAAGTGTTCTCACTTAGTCACACATGGTGGAGTTCAGTGGGAAAATCTGAGCTCACATTTCATTTCACCATTCCATTGCACTCCATTCCACTCCACTCCACTCCACCCCACTCCACTGCATTCCACTCCATTCCATCCCAATCCATTCCTTTCCACTCCATTCCATTCCTTTCCTTTCCTTCATCAGGATATCACTGTTTCACACAGGGTGGAGTGCAGTGGCACAATCTTAGTTCACATTTCATTTCAACTTTCCACTCCATAGCATTTCATTGCAATCCGTTTCTTTCCATTTTTTTTCGTTTGACAGTTTCTCACTCTGTCACTCCGGGTGGAGTGCAGTCGCATAATCTCAGCTCACATTACATTTGAACTTTGCATTACATTCCATGCCACTCCATTTCATTTCATTCGATTCCATTCCATTCCACTCTACTCAATTCCACTCCACTCCACTACATTCCATTTCATACCATTCCATTCCACTCCATTCCACTCTAATCCACTCAATTCCATTCCATCCCATTACATTCCACTCCACTCCACTCCATTCCATCCCACTCCATCCCATTTCATTCCACACCACTACACTCCACACCACTCCATTTCCTGCCATACCATCCCATTTCATTCCATTCCATTTGATTCCTTTCCACTCCTTTGCATTCCATTCCTTTATTTCGACAGTATCTCAATCTGTCACAAAGTCTGGAGTGCAGTGGCACAATCTCAGCTCACATTTCATTTCACCATTTCATTTCATTCCATACCACTCCACTCCACTACACCACACTCCACTCCAGTCCACTTCACTCCACTCCACTCCATTAAATCCCAATGCATTCCATTCCTGTCTATTCCTATCCATTCCTTTGCTTTCTTTTGATAGGATCTCACTCTGTCACTCAGGGTGGAGTACAGTGGCACAATCTCAGCTCATATTTTATTTCAATATTCCATACCATTCCATTCCATTCCATTCCACTCTACTCCACTCCACTCCACTCAATTCCATTCTATTCAATTACATGCCACTCCATTCCACTCCTTTCCATTCCTTTCTTTTCTGTCGACAGGTTCTCACTCTAACAAACAGGCTAGAGTGTAGTGGCACAATCTCCGTTCAAATTTGACTTCACCATTCCATTCCATTCCATTTCATTCCATTCCATTCCATTCCATTCTACTCCCTTCCACTCAACTCCAACCCATTGCATTCCATTCCACTCCACTCCACTCCTCTCCACTGCTCTACATTACATCCCATTCTATCCAACTCCATTCCCCTCCACTCCACTCCAATCTACTGAATTCCATTCCATTACATCACATTCCATTCCATTGCATTCCATTCCACTCCACTCCAATCCACTCAAATCCATTCCACTATATTCCGTTCCTTTCCTTTCAATTCCAATACACTGTATTACCTTAAACTCCTTTCTTTAGACAGGATCTCACTCTGTCACACAGGGTAGAGTGCAGTGGCACAATGTTAGCTCACATTACGTTTCACAATTCCATTCCATTTCTCTCCATTCCATTCCATTCCTTTCCCTTCCGTTCCTTTAAGTTCCACTCCACTCCACTCCATTCCACTCCACTCCACTCCATTACAGTACACTCCACTCCACTCCAGTAGACTCAATTTCATTACACTCCATCCCATTCCATTCCACTCCATTCCACCCCACTACAATCCACTCCACTCCTCTCCAATCTACTCCACTCCACTCCACTCCAGTCCACTCCATTGCATTCCATCCCATCCCAGTCCATTCCACTCCATTCTACATCAATCCACTCCATTCCATTCCATTCCAACTGATTCCATTCCATCCCGGTCAATTCCATTCCATTCCATTCCATTCCATTCCATTCCATTCCATTCCATTCCATTCCATTCCATTCCATTCCATTCCATTCCATTGCATTCCATTCCATTGCATTCCATTCCATTCCCTGCTTTCGACAGGATCTCACTCTGTGACACAGCCTGGAGTGCAGTAGCACAATCTCAACTCAAATTTATTTTGACCATTCCATTCCACTACATTCCACTACACTTCAGTTCACTCCACTCCACTCCAATCCATGCCATTCCACTCCATTCAATTCCATCCCAATCCAGTCCACACCACTCAGCTCCACTCAATTCCGCTCTAATCCACTTCAGTCCACTCCAATACATTACACTTCATCATATTCAATTGCAATCCATTCCACTACACTGCACTCCATTCAACTCCACTACATTCCTTTCGATTGCATGCCAGTCCATTGCACTCCATTCCACACCATTTCACTCCACTCCACTCCACTCCATTCCATTCCATCCCATTCCCTTCCATTTCATTCCATCCCATTCCAACCCATCCCATCCCATCGCATCCCATTCCATTCCATCCCATCCCATTCTATTTGCTTCCATTCCATTCCATTCCATTCCATTCCATTCCATTCCATTCCATCCCATTCCATTCCATTCCATCACATTCCATTCCATTCCATTCCTTTCCATTCCATTATACTTCGTTCCATTCCTTTCTTTTCTTTTGACAGGCTCTCACTCTCTCACACAGGCTGTATTGTCGTGGCACAATATCAGCTCACATTTCATTTCACCATTCTCTTCCATTGCATTTCATTGCATTCCATTCCATTGCATTATATTCTATTGTATTCCATTCCATTCCATTTCATTCTAATCCATTCCACTCCCTTTCATTCAACTCCACTCCACTTCACTCCACGCCACTCCACTCCACTCCACTCCACTCCACTCCATTCCACTCCATTCCATTCCATTCCATTCCATTCCATTCCATTCCATTCCATTCTACTCCAGTCCACTCCACTGCATGCCACTCGACTCCACTCCCTTACACTCAATTCCAATCCACTCTTCTCCATTCCATTCCCTTCCAATCCCTTCTCTCCCCGTCCAATCCACTCCACTCCATCCCCCCCCCCTCCACCCCACTCCACCCCACTCCACTCCACTCCACTCCAATCCATTTCACTCCACTCCACTCCACTCCTTCCATTCCATCCCATTCCATTCTACTCCATTCCAGTCCACTGCATTCCACTCCATTATTTTCCATTCCATCCAAAGACGTTCCATTCTTTACCACTCTAATGCTCTCCACTACACTCCACTCTTGTCCACTCCACTCCATTCCACTCCATCCAATTCCATTTACTCCAATCCACTTAGCTGTACTCCACTCCACTGCAGACCATTTCATTTCATTCCATTCCATTCCACTCCATTCCATTCCACTCTTTACCATTCCATTCCTTTCTTTCGACAGGATCTCACTCTCCCACACAGGCTGGAGTAAAGGGACACAATCTGAGCTCACATATCATTTTAACATTTAATTGCATTCCATTCCCTTGCATTCCATTAAATTTCATTCCATTCCATTCCTCTCCATTGCTTTCCACTGCACTCCACCCAACTACACACCAATCCACACCACTCCATTCCATTCTTTTCCATTCCATTCCATTCCATTTTATTCCATTCCATTCCTTTCCATTCCATTCCACTCCATTCCATTCCATTCCATTCCACTCCGTTCTTTCATGAGGGTCTCACTCTATCACCTAGTCTGGAATGCAGTGACACAATCTCAGCTCACATTTCATTTCACCATTCCATTGCATTGCATTCCATTGCATTCAAGTCCATTCCATTCCATTGTATTCCATTCCATTCCATCCCATCCCATTCCTTTCCATTCCATTCCATTCCATTCCATTCCATTCCACTCTGCTGCATTCCATTCCATTCCATTCCAATCCATTCCACTCCACTCTACTCCACTCCTCTCCACTCCATCCCATTCCATCCCATTCAATTCCACTCCACTCCACTCTATTGCATTCCCTCCCATCCCTTTCCACTCTATTCCACTCCAATCCACAGCACTCCACTCCACTTCACTCTACTCCACTCCATTCCGTTCCATACCATTCCATCACTTTGTGTCACGAAAATCTCACTCTGTCACCCTGGCTGCAGTGCAGTGGCGCAATTTCAGCTCACATTTCATTTCACAACTCCATTCCATTCCACTCCACTCAACTCCACTTCACTTCACGCCATTCCATCCCATTGCTTTGCTCTCTATTTCACTCCACTTCACTGCACTCCACTCCATTCCATTCCACTCCCTACCATTCCATTCCCCTTCACTCCACTCCTCTCCAGTCAACTACTCTTCATTCCATTCCATTAAACTCTATTGCATTCCATTCTTTTTATTTGTAAGTATCTCACTCTGTTTCTCACGCTCGAGTGCAGGGGCACAATCTCAGCTCACATTCCATTTCACCATTCCAATGTATTTCAATCCATTACATTCCTTTTAATTGCAATCCACTCCATTCCACTGCACGCCATTCCATTCCATTCCATTCCAATCCATTCCACTAAATTCCATTCCATTCCACTACACTACACTCCCCATCATTCCATTCCATGCCATCCTATTTCACTCCATTCCACTCCTCTCCACTCTACTCTACTCGACTCCACTGCACTCCTCTCCAATCCATTCCATTCCATTCCCTTACTTTCCATTCTATTCCATTCCTTTTCACTCCATTCCATTACATATATTTCTTTCAACAGCATCTCACACTGTCAACCTGGCTGGAGTGCAATGACACAATCTCAGCTCACGTTTCAATTTACCATTCCATTCTTTTCCATTCCATACCATTCCATCCTACTCTTCTGCACTCCACTCAACTCCATTCCATTCCATTCCATTCCACTTCATTCCACTCCACTCCACTCTATTCCAATCCACCCCATTCCAATCCAATCCACTCCACGCCACTCCATTCCATTCCTTCCCATTCCATTCCTGTCCATTCTACTCCACTTCATTCCATTCTTTCCCATTCCATTCCACTCCATTCCACTCCACTCAATCCCACTCCATTCCATTCCATTCCATTCCATTCCACTCAATTCCATTACATTCCTTTCTTTTGACAGGATCTCCCTCTGTCATAAAGGCTGCACTGCATTGGTCAATATCAGCTCACATTTCGTTTCACTATTCCATTCCATTCCATTTGATTTCATTCCATTCCATTCCACTCCACTCCACTCCAATCCACTCCATTCCATTCCATCCAATTCCATGCCACTCCACTCCATTCCACTACACTCCATGCCACTCCATCCCGTTCCATTCCTCTCCATTCCAATCCAGTCAACTCCACTTCACTCCACTCCATTCCATTCCATTCCATTCCATTCCATTCCATTCCATTCCATTCCATTCCATTCCATTCCATTCCATTCCATTCCCTTATATTCCATTCCACACACTTCAATTCCATTCCTTTCTTTCACAAGACTCCCTTTCTCTCACCCAGGCTGGAGTGCAGTGGCTCAATCTGAGCTCATATTACATATCACCATTCTATTCCACTGCATTCCATTGCACTGTATTCAATTGCATTCCGTTCCATTGCATTCTATTGCATCCCATTCCACTCCATTCCATTCCATTCCATTGTATTCCATTGCATTCCATTCTATTCCATTAAATTGCAATCCATTCCATTCCATTCCACTCCTTTCCGTTCCATTCCATTCCATTCCTCTCCACTCCATTCCATTCCTCTCCACTCTACTAAATTCCATTCCATTCCGTTCCATTCCATTCCATTCTATTCCATTCCACTCCACTCCAATCCACTCCAATGCTCTCCACTTGACTCCACTGCTCTCCACTCCACTCCACTCCATTCCATTCCACTCCATCCCATTCTATTCCACTGCATTCCCCTCCACTCCACTCCACTCTAGTCCAATCCAGTCCTCTCTACTCCACTCCATTCCATTCCCCTCCATTCCCTTCCATTCCTTTCCTTTGAAATTATGTCACTCTGTCACACATATTGGGGTGCAGTGGAAGAATATCAGCATATATTTCATTTCACCATAGCCTTCCATTCCATTCCCCTCCATTCTATACTTTTAAACTCCACTCCATTTCAGTCCACTCCACTCCACTCCATTTCACTCCACTCCCCTCCATTCTACTCCTCTCTACTCCATCCCATTCCATTCCACTTCATTCTACTCAACTCCACTCCACTCCACTTCTTTCCATTCCATCCCATTCAATTCCACCCCAATCCATTCCACTGCACTCCACTCCAATCCTTCCATTCAATTCCACTCCATTACACTCCACTCCATTCCAATCCATTCCAATTCTTTACATTCCATTCCATTCCAGTCCACTCTACTCCTCTACGTTTCTCTCCACTCCACTGCATTACATCCCATTCCATTCCACTCCACTCCACTCCATTCGATTCCCTTCCAGTAAATTCCATTCCATTCCTTTAAATTCTAATCCACTCCACTCCTCTCCACTCCATTCAATGCCATTCTATTCCATTACATTCCAGTCCATGGTACTCCATTCCACTCCACTCCACTCCACCACATTCCATTCCATTCCATCCCATTCCACTCCATTCCACTACTCTCCACTCTACTCCACTCCACTCCCCTCCACTCCTCTCCACTACACTCCATTCCATTCCAGTCCATTTAACTGCATAACATTCCATTTATTTCTTTCGGCAGCATCTCACTCTGTCACACAGGCTGGAATGCAGTGGCACACAGTCAGCTCAGGCTGGAGTGCAATGGCACTGTATCAGCTCACATTTCATTTCACCATTCCATTCCATTGCATTCAATTCTACTCCACTCCACTCCACTCCATTCCATTCCATTCCACTCCAATCCACTCTACTCCACTCCACTTCATTCCACTCCATTCCATTCCATTCCACTCCATTCCACTCCAATGCCCTGCACTTGACTCTACTCCAATCCACTCCATTCGATTACTTTCTACTCCATAACATTCTATTCCACTCCATTCACATCCACTCCACTCCACTCTACTCCATTCCAGTCCGCTCCACTCCACTTTACTCCACTCCCCTCCTCTCCACACCGCTCCGCTCCACTCCATTCCACTCCACTGCATTCCATTCCTTTCTTTCAACAGGATCTCATTCTTTCAGCCACGTTATAGTGCAGTGCAACAATCTCAGCTCACATTTCGTTTCACCATAGCATTTCATTCAATTCCATTCCCTAAAATTCCATTCCATTCCAGTACACTCTACTCCACTCCACTCCGCTCCATTCTATCCTGTTCCATTCCATTCCATTCCATTCCATTCCATTCCATTCCATTCCATTCCAATCCACTCCTCTCCTCTCCACTCCGCTCCATGACATTCAATTCCATTACATTCCAGTACATACTACTCCATTCCACTAAACTCCACCCCGCTACATTCCATTCCATTGTCCCATTTCACTGCATTCCACTACTCTTCACTCTACTCCACTCCATTCCACTGTACTCCTCTCCACTCCATTTCATTACATTTCACTCCTTTCCATTCCATTGCTTTCTTTCAAAGACATCTCACTCTGTCACACAGGATGGAGTGCAGTGGCACCATCTCAGCTCAGGCTGGAGTGCAATGACACAGTATTAGCTCACATTTCATTTCAGCATTCCATTCCATTCCATTCCATTCCATTCCATTCCATTCCATTCCATTCCACTACACTGTGATCCACTCCACTCAACTTCACTGCACTCCACTGTTTTGCATTCCCTTCCCTTCCTTTCTTTTCCATTCCATTCCAATCCATTCCATTCCACTCCCCTCCATTCGACTCCGTTCTATTCCATTGCATTGTACTGCATTCCATTCCATTCCTTTATTTTCACTTCATCTCACTCTTTCATCCTGAATTCAATGCAGTCACACAATCTTAGCTCACATTTCATTTCACCATTCCATTCCATTCCATTCCACACCATTTTATTAAACTCCTACACATTCCACTCCACTCTACTCAATTCCATTCCACTCCACTTCACTCCATTGCTTCCCTTTCCATTCCATTGTATTCCACTGCACTACGTTGCACTTCAATCAACTCCACATCACTCCAATCCATTTCATTCTCTTCCTTTCCATTATGTTCCTTTGTGTTCCATTCCACCTATTTCCATTCCACTGCACTCCATTCCACTCCACTCCGTTTCACTCCATTGAACTCCATTCCACTCCATTCCACTGTATACCACTCCTTTCCTATCCATTCCACTCCACTCGACTCCATTTCTCTCCGCTCCATTCCATTCCACTCCATTGTATCCAATTCCACTGCATTCCATTCCACTCTCCACCACTCCCTTCCACTCCCTTTGACTCCATTCCACTGCACTCCAACTCTACTCCTCTCAACTCCATTTCAATGCTTTCCATTACTTTCCACTCCACTCCATTTCCATTCCATTCCATTCCATTCCATTCCATTCCATTCCATTCCATTCCACTACATTCCACTCCATTTCATTCCACTCCACTGTGTTCCATTCCATTCCATTCCACTCCACTGCATTTTATTCCATGCTTCTACATTCCATTCCATTCCTTTATTTCGACTGGATCTGACTTTGTCACCAGACTGAAGTGCTGTGGCACAATCTTAGCTCTCATTTCATTTCAACAAACAATTCCAATCCATTCTATTCCATTCTGTTCCATTCCATTCCATTCCATTCCATTCCATTCCGTTCCGTTCCGTTCCGTTCCGTTCCGTTCCATTCCGTTCCGTTCCGTTCCATTCCATTCCACTCCACTCCACTCCACTCCACTGCTCCCCATTCTGTTCCGTTCCATTCCATTCCATTCCATTCCATTGCACTCCCATCCACTCCACTCAAGTACACTGCACTTCACTCTACTCCAGTCCATCCATTTGATTCCATTCCGTTCCATTACATTCCACTCCACTCCATTTCCCTTCATTCCACTCCATTCCACTCCAATCTACTCCACTCCAATCCGTTCCTTTTGACTTCATTCCATTTGATTCCACCATATTCCATTCCATTCCACTCCATTCCACTCCGCTCGATTCCACTCCACTCCATTCAACTCCACTCATCTCCATTCCATTGAATTCCATTCCACTCCACTCCATTCCATTCCATTCCTTTATTTCGACTGGATCTCACTCTGTCACCAAGTCTAAAGTGCATTGGCCCAACTGTAGCTCACATTTCATTTCCCATTCCATTCCACTCCATTCCATTCCATTCCATTCCATTCCATTCCATTCCATTCCATTCCATTCCATTCCATTCCATTCCATTCCATTCCATTCCGTTCCGTTCCACTGGATTCCGATCCACTCTACTCAACTCCATTTCAATCCAGTCCACTCCATTCTGTTCTGTTCCATTCTATTCCTTTCCATTCCATTCCATTCCGTCCTATTCCATTCCATTCCACTCCACTCCATTCCATTCTACTCCATTCTGTTCCACTCCACGCCACTCCACTCCATTCCATTCCATTCTATTCCATTCCATTCCATTCTATTCCACTGCCATCTGACCCACTCAATTCAACTTCACAGCACTCCACTCCGATCGATTCCGTTCCGTTCCATTCCGTGTAGTCCACTGCATTGAATTGCACTCCACTCCATTCCACTCCACTGCATTCCCTTCCATTCTAATGCATTCCATTCCATTCCTTTATTTCGAATAGTTCTCACACTGTCACCCAGACTGGAGTGCAGTGGCACCAACTTAGCTCATATTTCATTTCACAATTCCAATCCATTCGTTTCCACACCATTCCATTCCACTCCCCTCCACTCCACTCCCATCCATTCCACTCTACTCCACTCATTTCAATGCATTCCATTCCTTTCCATTCCAGTGCACTCCAATCCACTGCATTCAAATCCACTCCATTTCACTTCACTCCACTACATTCCGTTCCATTATGTTTTATTCCACTCCACACCATTCCATTCAATTCTACTCCATGCGATTCCATTCCTTTATTTAGACTGGATCTCACTGTGACACCCACACTGGTGTGCAGTGGCCAATCTTATTTCATATTTCCTTTATCATTTCTTTCCAATACATTCCATTCCATTCCATTGCATTCCATTCCACTGCACTCCAATCCACTCCCCTCAACTCCATTCCAATCCACTCCATTCCATTCTGTTCTGTTCCATTCCGTGCCACTCCATTCCACTCCATTCTATTCCATTCCACTTAATTCAATTCCATTCCATTCCACTCCATTGCTCTCCATTCCACTCCACTCCTTTCCATTCCTCTCCACTCCACTCCATTCCAATCCATTCCTTTCCATTCCACTCCATTCCATTCCATACCACTCCACTCCACTCTTCTCCACTCCACTCCTCTCTATTCCATTCCATTTCATACCACTGTCCCCCATCAACTCCACTCAACTTCACTCCTCAACACTTCTCTCCGTTCTTTTTGTTCTTTTCCTTTCCATTCCATTCCACTCCATTCCATTTCATTCCACTCCATTCCATTCCATTGCATTCCACTCTTTTCCATTCCATTCCACTCCACTCCGTTCCACTCCACTCCACTCCACTCCATACCAATCCAATCCATTCCATTCCACTCCTTTCCATTCCATTTCACTCCATTCCACTACACTCCCATCTATTCTACTACATTCCATTCCTCTCCACTGCATTGTATTCCATGAAATTCCATTCCTTTCCATTCCTTTATTTCGACTGGATCTCTCTTGGTCAGCAGAGTGAAGTGCAGTGGCACAATCTTAGCTCACATTTCATTTCACCTTTTCATTCCATTCCATTGCATTCCATTGCATTCCATTCCATTCCATTCCACTACAATCCATTCCATTTCACCGCACTCTGATCCACTCCACTCAACTTCGCTCAATTCCATTCCATTCCATTCCATTCCATTCCATTCCATTCCATTCCATTCCATTCCATTCCATTCCATTCCTATCAATTCCACTCCACTGAATTTAACTCCACACCATTCCACTTCTCTCCACTAAACTCCACGCTATTCCTTTCCATTCCTCTCCTTTCCATGGCATTCCATTCCACTCCCTTCCACTTCATTCCACTCCACTCGATTCCACTCGAGTCCATTCAACTGCACTGCACTTCATTCCAGTGCATTCCATTCCACTACACTCCATTCCTTTCTGTTCCTTTATTTCGACTGAATCTCACTCTGTTACGCAGACTAGAGTGCTGTGGCCCCATCTCAGCTCACATTTCATTAACCATTCCATTGCACTCCATTCCATTCCATTCCATTCCATTGCAATCCATTCCATTTCTCTGAATTCCGATCCACTCCACTGAACTCCACTCCACTCTGTTCTATTCTGTTCCCTTCCAAACCATTCCATTATGTTCCATTCCACTCCACTCCACTCCATTCAATTCCATTTCATTCCACAACTCTGTTTTCCACTTTACTCCATTAACCACCACTCCACTCCACTACATTCCATTCCCTTCACTTCCATTCCATTCCTTTCCATACCCTTCCAAACCAATGCACACCATTTCATTCCATTCTACTCCTTTCCCTTCCATTCATTCATTTTGACAGGATCTAACTCTCTCACCCAGACAGGAGTTCAGTGGCAGAACCTTAGCTCACACTTCATTAATCATTCCATTCCTTTCCATTCCATTCCATTCTATTGAACTCTCTGCCATTCAAACTCTTTCCGTTCCATTACATTCCAGTCCATTCCATTCCATTCCCCTCCACTGCACTCCATTCAATTCCACTCAATTCCACTCCATTACACTCCTTTCCACTCCATTTCACTCCATTCCACTTCATTCCACCCTACTCCACTCCTGACCACTCCAATCTATTCCATTCCATTCCATTCCCCTGCACTCCAATCCAGTCCAATCAACTTCATTCCACTCCACTCCACTCCATTCCATTCCATTTTGTTCCATTCAGTTCCATTCTACTCGACTCCGTTCCACTCTACTCTATTACACTCCACTCCTTTCCATTCCATTATACTCCATTCCATTCCATTCCTTTATATCGACTGGATCTCACTCTGTCACCCAGACTGTAGTGCAGTGGGACAATCTTAGCTCACGTTTCATTTCACCATTCCATTCCATTCCAATCCATTTCATTCTATTTCATTCCTCTCCACTCCACTCCACTCCATTCCATTCCACTCCACTCCACTCCATTCCATTCCATTCCACTCCACTCCACTACATTCCATTCCATTCTATTTCACCGCACTCCGAGCCACTCCACTCAACTCCACTCTACTCTACACCACTCCACTCCATTCCTTTCCTTTCCGTTCCCTTCCATTCCACTCCATGCCATTCCATTCCATTCTTCTCCATTCCTTTGCATTCCTTTATTTCTACTGGATCTCACTCTGTCACTCAGAATGGTGTGCAGTGGCCCTATCTTAGCACACATTTGATTCCCCATTCCATTCCCTTCCTTTCCGTTCCATACAATTCCATTGAATTCCATTCTATTCCACTGCATTCTGAGGCACTCCACTCCACTCCACTCCACTCCTCTGCTTTCCGTTCCATGCCATTCTTCTCCATTCCATTCCTTTCTTTTCCATTCTATTCCATTCCATTCTAATCCACTCCATTCCAATCCACTCAATTCCATTCCTATCCACCCCAGTCTACTATATTACATTACATTCCATGCAACTGCACTCCGATCCACTCCACTCATTTTCACTCCACTCGTCTCCACACCCTCAAATCCACTACATTCCCCTCCACTCCACTAAAATCTATTTCACTCCACTCCACTCCACTCCACTCCATTTCATTCCATTTTATTCCATTCCATTGCATTCCACTCCCCTAAACTCCAGTCCACTCCACTCCATTTCATTCCACTCCACTCCATTGCATTCCATTCCACTCCATTCCACTCCACTCCACGGCACTCCGCCCTTCTCAATTCCATTTCATTCCACTCCAGTCCACTCCATTCCATTCTACTGCACTCCCATTCACTCCACTCAAATACTCTCCACTCTACTTCACTCCGTTCCATTCCATTCCATTGTATTCCATTTTATTCCATTCCATTCCATTCCATTCCATTCCATTCCATTCCATTAATTTCCATTCTACTCCACTCCACTCCACTACATTCCATTCCATTGCATTCCATTTCATTCCATTCCATTCCCTTCCACTGCACTCCGATCCATTTCACTCAACTCCATGCCACTTGACTCCACTCCTTTTTGCTCTGTTCTATATCATTCCTTTACATTCCATTCCATTCCACTCCACTCCACTCCATTCTAGTCCACTCAATTGAATTCCAAAGCATTCCATTCCATTCCACTCCACTCCATTCCATTCCATTCTGCACCGTTCCTCTCCATTCCATTCTACTCCATTCCACTCCATTCCATTCCACTCCATTCCACTCCACTCTATTCCACTCCATTCCATTTCAATCCACTCCATTCCCTTCCAATCCATTCCACCCCATTCCACTGCACTCCATTCCAATCCTCTCGGTTCCACTCCAATCCACTCCATTCCACTCCATTCCTTTCCATTCCACTCCATTCAATTCCATTCCATTCCATTCCATTCCATTCCATTACCCTCTATTCCACTCTACTCCACTCCAGTCCACTCCCCTCCTTTGCACTCCAGTCCACTCCATTACTATCCATTCCATTCCAGTCCACGCCATTCCATTCCATTCGATTCATTTGCTTTATTTCGACTGAATATCATTATGTCAAAATTACTGGTGTTGACTGGCACAATCTTCACTCACATTTCATTTCACCATTCCATTCCACTCCATTCCATTCCATTCCATTCCATTGCATTCCAAACAATTCCACTCTATTCTACCTGACTCCACTCCATTTCACCCCACACATCTCCATTCCATTCCCCACCATTGCATTCCATTCCCTTCCATTCCATTCCATTGCATTGCATTCCATTCCATTCCAGTGCACTCCGATCCACTCCACTGAAATTCACTCCACTCCACTCCATTCTATTCCGTTTGGTTCTGTTCCATACTGTTCCATTCCACTCCATTCCATTCCACTCCACTCCATTCCACCCCACTCCATTTCACTCCATTCCAATACATTCCACTCCATTCCACTCTATAACAGTCCACTCCACTCCACTCTGATCCAGTCCTCTCAAATCTATTAAACGCCATTCTGTTCCATTCCATTCCATTCGATTCCATTCGATTCCATTCCATTCCATTCCATTCCATTCCATTCCATTCCATTCCATTCCATTCCATTCCATTCCATTCCATTCCTTTTCATTCCACACCATTCCATTCCATTCTATTCCATTCCATTCCATTCATTCCATTCCACATCATTCCATTCCTCTCCAATCCAATGCATTCCATTCCACTCCAGTCTGCTCCACTCCACTCCATTTCACTCCACTAAACTTCATTCCACTTCACTCCATCCCATTCCACTCCTGTTCATTTCATTCCACTCCACTCCACTCCATTCCAGTCCAAACCACTCCATTCCATTCCATTCCATTCCATTTCATTGCATTCCACTCCATTTCATTCCATTCCATTACACTGCATTCCGATCCACTCCACTGAACTCAACTCCACTCCACTCCACTCCATTCCACTCCGTTCCCTTCCATTCCTTTCTGTTCCCTTCCATTCCACTCTATTCCATTCCACTCCAATGTATTCCACTTGACTCCATTTCATTCCATTCCACTCCATTCCACTTTACTCCTCTCCACTTCATTCCATTCCATTCCATTCCACTCCATTCCATTCCATTCCTCGCCATTCCATTCCATTACATTGCTCTCCTTTGCACTTAATTCCACTCCACTCCGTTCCACTCTTCTGCAATCTTTTCCAATCCTCTCTATTCCTCTCCATTTCATTCCATTTCCATTCATTCCTTTCCATTCCATTTCATTCCATTCCATTCCATTCCATTCCATTCCATTCCATTCCATTCTATTCCACTGTACTCCAATTCACTCCACTCAACTCCAGTCCACCCCACTGCAATCCACTCCATTCCATTCCACTCCATTCCATTCGATTCCACTAAGTTCCATTATATTGCACTCCATTCCACTCCATTCCATTCCACTCCACTTTTTTACACCCCACTCCGTTCCACTCCACTCAATTCCAATGCATTCCACTCCTTTCATTCCATTCCACTCCTTTCCTTTCCACTGCACTTCGATCCACTCCACTCAACTCCATTCCACTCCACTCCATTCCTTTCCGTTCCATTCCAGTCCACACCATTCCATTCCGTTCTACTCTATGACATTTCATTCCTTTATTTTGACTGGATCTCACTGTGTCAGCCAGACTGGTGTGCACTGGCCCAATCTTAAATCACATTCCATTCACCATTTCTTTCCTTGCCATTCCATTCCATTCCATTCCATTCCATTCCTTTCTACTGCACTCTGAGCCACTACCCTCAAGTTCACTCCACTCCACTCCGTTCCGTTCCGTTGCATTCCAATCCATTCCTGTCCTTTCCCCTCCATTCTATTCCATTCCACTCAATTCATTTCCATTCCATTCCACTCTATTTCACTCCTTTCCTCTCCACTCCATTCCACTTCACTCCATTCCACTCCACTCCACTCTATTCCACTCCTTTCCACTACAATCCACTCCATTCCACTCCACTCCTCTCCACTCCACTTCTCTCCTTTCCATTCCACTGCACTGCGATCCACCAAACTCAAATTCACTCCTCTCCACTCCATTCCATTCCATTCTGTTCCTTTCCATTCCTTTCCACTCCATTAAATTCAACGCCACTCCATTCCACTCCATTTCATTTCACTCCATTTCACTCCATTCCACTCCACTCCACTCTAATCCACTCTAGTCTACTCCACTCCACTCTGATGAAGTGCTCTTAAATCCACTTCAGGCCATTCCGTTCTGTTCCATTCCAT
Organism: Homo sapiens; assembly: GCF_000001405.40. Lineage (NCBI taxonomy): Eukaryota > Metazoa > Chordata > Mammalia > Primates > Hominidae > Homo > Homo sapiens. The sequence continues at coordinate 10,803,394 of NC_000024.10, forward strand.
TCCATTCCATTCCTTTCCTGTACACATCCCTCCTTTCCATTCCATTCCATTCCACCCTATTGCATTCCACTGCATTCTAGTGCATTCCATTCCACTCCACTCTGCTCCACTCCACTTCATTCCTCTCCACTCCACTTCATTCCACTCCACTCTATTCCATTCCAAACCAGTCCATTCCTTTCCGCCCCAATTCACTCCATTCCAGTCCAAACCACTCCATTCTATTCCATTCCAATGCACTCCGCCCCACTCCACTCAACTCCACTCCACTCCGTTTCATTCCGTTCTTTTCTATTCCATTCCATTCCACTCTATTCCATTCCTCTCCCCGCCATTACACTTGACTCCATTTCACTGCATTCCACTCCATTCCACACTAGTCCACTCCACTGCATTCCATTCCTCTCAATTCCATTCCATTCCACTCCATTCTATTCCATTCGCTTCCATTCCATTCCACTCCATTCCACTCCTCTCCATTCCAGTGCACTACAATCCTCTCCAATCCACTCCATTCAATTCCATTACCCTCCATTCCATTCCATTCCATTCCATTCCATTCCACTACACTCCATTCCATTCCACTCCACTGCACTTTGATCCACTCCACTCAACTCCACTGCACTCCACTCCAATCCACTCCATTCCATTCTTCCATTATTTCCACTCTAATCAATGACTTTCCATTCCCCTCCATTCCACTCCATTCCAGTCCACTATATTCCACTCTACTTCGTTCAACTCCACTCTACTCTATTCCACTGCATTCCAATCCACTCCATTCCTTTCCTTTCCATTCTACTTCACTCTATTCCATTCCTTTATTTCGATTTGATCTCACTCTGTCTCCAAGACTAAGGTGCAGTTGCTCAATCTTAGCTCACATTTCTGTAACCATTCCTTTCCATTCCATTCCATTTCATTCCATTACATTCTACTGCACTCCTATCCACTCCAATCAACTCCACTCCACTCCACTACGTTCCTTTTTGTTCCTTTCTAATCCATTCCATTCCATTCCTTTCCATCTTGTTCCATTCCATTCCACTCCACTCCATTCCATTCCACTCCATTCCACTCTACTCCACTCCACTCCACGCCCCTCACTCCAATCCACTCCATTCCATTCCATTCCACTGAATGCTGTTCCACTCCACTCAATTTCACTCCACTCCACTCCGATCCATTCAGTTCCATTCCATTCCATTCCCGTCCACTGCATTCCATTTCACTACACTCCATTCCACTCGTCTTCATTTTATTCCATTCTACTGCATTCCTTTCTATTCCGTTATTTTGACACTATCTCACATTATCACCCAGACTGGAGTGCAGTGGCACCAACTTAGCTCATATTTCATTTCACCATTCCATTCCATTCCATTCTATTCCATTCCATTCCATTCCATTCCATTCCATTCCATTCCATTCCATTCCATTGCATTCCTTTAAATTCCACACCATTGCATTCCACTCCACTCGACTCCATTCCACTCCGGTCCACTCCACTCCATTCCACTCCACTCCAATCCTTTCCTTCCATTCCATTCCATTCCATTCCATTCCACTGCACTCTTATCCACTCCACTCCACTCCACTACATTCTGCTCTGTTCCATTCTGTTCCAGTGTACACCATTCCATTGCATTCTACTCCACGCCATTCCATTCCTTTATTTTGAATGGATCTCACTGTGTCACCCAGACTGCAGTGCAGTGGCCCAATCTTGACTGACATTTCATTCACCATTTCATTCCATTCCATGGCATCTTATTCCATTCCATTCCATTCCATTCCATTCCATTCCATTCCATTCCATGGCATTGCATTCCGTTCCTTTCCACTGCCCTCCCATGCACTCCACTCAACTCCACTGCACTTCAGTCTATTTCACACCATTCCTTTTCGTTCCATTCCGTTCCAATTCATTCCGTTGCATTCCACTCCATTCCATTCCTCTCCATTTCATTCCATTCCACTACATTCCATTCCATTCCACTCTATTCCTCTCCATTCCATTCCAATCCTCTCCATTCGTTTCATTCCATTCCATTCCTTTCCATTCCACTGCACTCCAATCCACTCCACTCAGTTCCACTCCACTGCACTGCACTACACTCTGTTCCATTCCGTTCCCTTCCGGTCCACACCATTCCAATGCATTCTACTCCATGTTATTCCATTCCTTTATTTTGAATGGTTCTCACTGTGTCACCCAGCCTGGAGTGCAGTGGCACAATCTTAGCTGACATTTCCTTCAGCATTCCATTCCATTCCATTCCATGGCATTCCATTCCATTCCTTTCCACTGCACTCCCTTGCACTCCACTCAACTCCAATTCACTTCACTCTACTTCACACCCTTCGTTTCGGTTCCATTCCATTCCGATACTTTCCATTCCATTCCTCTCCACTTCATTCCATTACACTCCATTCCATTCGATTCCACTACATTCCATTCCATTTCACTCCATTCCACTCCATTCCACTTCACTTGATTCCACTCTACTCCATTCAACTGCACTACACTCCATTCCACTGCTTTCCATTCCACTCCAATCCATTCCATTTTATTCCTTTATTTCGACTGAATCTCACGTGTCACCCAGACTGGAGTGCCGTAGCCCAATCTTAGCTCATATTTCATTAACCATTCCATTGCATAACATTCCATTCCATTCCATTTCATTCCATTGCATTCCATTCCATTCCGTTCCATTCCAATGCACTCTGAACCACTGCACTGAGCTCCTTTCCACTCTCCTCTACTCCGTTCTATTCCATTCCATCCTGTTCCATTCAATTCTGCTCCACTCCACTGCATTCCATTCCACTTCATTCCACTCCACTCCTATCCACTTCACTCCATTCCCCTCCACTCCACTCCATTCTATTCCTTTTCATTCCTTTCCATTCCATTCCAATGCAGACCATTACATTACATTCTACTCCATTCCATTCCATTCCTTTATTTCGACAGGTTCTCACTCTGTCACCCAGACAGGAGTGCAGTGGCCCAATCTTAACTCACATTTAATTAACCATTCCATTCTTTTCCATTCTATTCCATTCCATTCCATTTCATTCTATTGTGTTCCCTTCCATTCCATTCCATTCTATTGCGTTCCCTTCCATTCCTTTGCAGTCTGATGCACTCCATTCAACTCCACTCCATTCTTCTCCATTCCTTTACGTTCCATTCCATTGCATTCCGTTCTGTTCCATTCCACTCCAATCCATTGCGTTCCATTCCACTCCACTCCATTCCATTCCTCTCCATTCCTTTGCATTTCACTCCTTTCCACTTCATTCCAGTCCACTCCACTCCTCTCCACTCCACTCCACTCCATTCCTTTCCATTCAATTCCCCTGCACTCCAATCCACTCCACTCAAATTCACTCTATTCCACTCCGTTCCGTTCCATTCCGCTCTGTACCATTCCACTCCATTCCACTTCACCCTTCTCCAATCCACTCCACTCCATTCCTTCCCATTCTGTTCGATTCCATTCCTTTATTTTGATGGGATCGCACTCTGTCACCCAGACAGGAGTGCAGTAGCCCAATCTTAGCTCACATTTCATTTCACCAATCCGTTCCATCCCATTGCATTCCACTCCGTTCCATTCCACTCCACTACACTGCACTCCATTCCATTCCATTCCACTCCATTCTACTCCACTCCACTGCACTGCACTCCACTCCACTCCATTCCATTCCATTTCGTTCGACTGTACTCTCATCCACTCCACTCAACTTCACTCCACTCCACTCAACTCCGTTCCATTTTGTTCCCTTCCTTTCCATTCCATTCCTCTCCATTCCATTCCACTCCACTCCATTCCATTCCATTCTACTCCATTTCTTTCCATTCCTTTATTTCAACTGGATCTCACTCTTTCAACCAGAATGGAGTGCAGTGGCACAATCTTAGCTCACATTTCATTTCACCATTCCATTCCATTCCTTTCCACTCCATTCCTTTCCACTCCTGTCCACTCCATTGCATTCTGTTCCATTGCATTCCATTCCACTGCCCTCCTGCCCACTCCACTCAAGTCCACGCCACTCCTGTGCATTTATTTCCATTCCGTTTAATTCCATTCCATTCCGTTCCATTCCATTCCATTCCATTCCACTCCTTTCTATTCCACTTCTCTCCATTCCACTCCACTCCATTTCATTCAATTCAACTCCTTTCCACTCGACTCCACTGCATTCCACTCCTTTTCTTCCTGTTCCACTCCACTCCATTCCACTCCCCTTGATTCTATTCCACTCCATTCCATTCAACTCCAAACCACTCCACTCCACTCCATTCCGTTCCCCTCCACTTCACTCCTTTCTAATCCATTCTATTCAAATTCTCTCCATTCCATTCCTTTCCATTAAACTCCATTCCACTCCACTCCATTCCAGTCCACTCCACTCCATTCCACTCCATTCCATTCAATTACACTCCACTCCTTTCCATAACAGGCAACTCTGTTCCATTCCATTTCTTTATTTCGACTGGATCTCACTTTGTCATCGGACTGAAGTGCAGTGACACAGTCTTAGCTCACTTTTCATTTCACCTTTACAACCCATTCCTTTCCATTGCATTCCATTCCATTGCATTCCATTCCATTCCATTCCACTGCACTCTGATCCACTCCACTCCACTCCACTACAGTCAATTCCATTCCCTTCCACTCCATTCGATTTCACTACATTCCATTCCATTCCACTCCACTGCATTCCACTCCACCCCATTCCATTCCACTCTAAACACTCCAAGCCATTCCTTTCCCTTCCACTCCTTTCCATAATATTCCATTCCAATCCATTCCAGTCCATTTCACTCCACTCGATTCCACTCCAATCCAATCAACTCCACTTCCCTCCATTCCACTGCATTCCATTCCACTCCAATCCATTACATTCCATTCTACTCTATTCCATTCCATTCCTTTATCTCGACTGAATGTCTCTGTGTCACCCAGACAGGAGTGACATTTCACTCCATTCCATTTCATTCTTCTCCAATCAACTCCACTCCATTTCATTCCATTCTATTCCATTCCATTCCTTTATTTTGACGGGATCTCACTCTGTCACCCAGAGAGGTGTGCACTAGCACAATCTTAGCTCACATTTCCTTTCACCAATCCATTCCAACCCATTGCATTCCTCTCCATTCCATTCCACTCCACTCCACTCCATTCCATTCCATTCCACTCCATTCCACTCCACTCCACTGCACTCCACTCCATTCCATTCCATTTCATTCCACTGCACACCGATCCACTCCACTCAAATTCACTCCACTCCATTCAACTCTGTTCCATTCCATTCCCTTCCTTTCCATTTCATTACTCTCTTTTCCATTCCACTCGATTCCACTGCACTCCATTCCACTGCACTCCATTCCATTTCCTTCTACTCCATTCCTTTCCATTCCGTTATTTCAACTGGATCTCACTATTTCAACCAGACTGGAGTGCAGTGGCATAATCTTTGCTCACATTTCATTTCACCATTCCATTCCATTACAATCCATCCCATTCCATTCCACTCCATTCCATTCAACTCCAATCCACCCCACTCCACTCCACTCCATTCCATTCCACTCCAGTCCACTCCATTGCATTCCGTTCCATTCCATTCCATTCCAGTGCACTCCTATCCACTCCACTCAACTCCATGCCACTCCACTGCGTTTCTTTCGATTCTGTTCCATTCCATTCCATTCCATTCCATTCCATTCCATTCCATTCCATTCCAATCTTTTCCATTCCACTTCACTCCATTCCCCTTCATTCCATTCCACTCTATTCCTCTGCATATCACTCTATTCCACTTCATTCCACTCCACTCCATTCAACTCCACTCCTTTCCATTCCATTCAATTCCCCTGCACTCTAATCCACTCCACTCAAATTCACTCCACTCCATTCCATTCCATTCCATTCCATTCCATTCCATTCCATTCCATTCCATTCCGTTCTGTTCTGTACCACTCCACTCTATTCCATTTCACAGTTCTCCATTCTCCTTCACTCCATTCCAATCCATTCTACTCCATTCCATTCCTTTATTTCGATGCGTTCTCACTCTGTCACCCAGACAGGAGTGGAGTGGCCCAATCAGAACTCACATTTAATTATGCATTCCATTCTATTCCATTCCATTCCATTCCATTCCATTCCATTCCATTCCATTCCATTCCATTCCACTCCATTCCATTCAACTCCAATCCACCCACTCCACTCCATTCCATTCCATCCCAGTTCCGA